>NC_000011.10:40969090-41272121 GCF_000001405.40 Homo sapiens
TAACAGGAGTTTGGAAGAAGTTCATTTCAACCATCATGGATGACTTTGACGGCTTCAAGATTTCAGTGAAGGAAATAAATGCAGATATGATGAAAACAGCAAGAGAACTAGAATTAGAAGTGGTGTCTAAAGCTGTAATCAAATTGTTGCACTCTTGTGATAAAATTTGAATGGTTAGGGAGTTGTTTCTTATGGATAAATAAATAAAGTGGTTTCTTGAGATGAAATGTACTCCTGGTGAAGATGCTGTGAATATTTTTGAAATGATAACAAATAATTTATAATATTACATAAAATTTAGTTGATAAAGCATCAGAAGGGTTTGAAAGTTTTACTGTGGGTAAAATGCTATCAAACAGCATCTTACACTACAAAAAAAAAAAAAACTATTTCATGAAAGGTAGTGTCAGTTGGTGGGGGAAACTTCATTACTGTCTTCTTTTAAAAAATTACCTTAGCCACCCCAACCTTCAGCACTCACCACCCTGATCAGTCAGCAACTATCAATATCAATGCAAGAGTTCCAACCAGCAAAAACATTAGGACTCACTGAAGACTCAGATGATTATTAGCACTTTATGGAAAAAGTATACTAAGGTATATACACTATTTATTAGACAATGCACATTTAATAGACTATAGAATATTGTAACATAACTTTTATATAAACACAGAAATTAAAAATTTTGTGACTCCCATTATTGCAATATTTGCTTTATTTGCAGTGACCTGGAATTGAACCCTGAATATCTTTGTAGCTAATATACTATTCAGTTGAACAGACATTATCCCCTTCAGTTTGCCAAAGTTGTGTTATCCTGTGAGATGGGCGGTGGGTCATTGCTTTGATCAATAGAACAAGGCAGAAGTGAGTGTCTGCCTGTTCAAGCCTGGGCTTTAAGTGTGTTCCTGGCTCTCTGGTATCATAAGAACATGCCAATGCTAATGTGTTGGAGAATCAGAGCTATGAGAAGCAGAGACCTGAGTTTTGTAATTTCCCCAGCTGACCCCTGCTGACTCTAGACGTGTGAATGAGGTCAGTCAAAATCAGCAGAGCCTTCTAGCGAACCTCAAACCAAGAGATGGTAATTGATAAGGTTTGGATCTGCATTCCCACCCAAGTCTCATGTTGAATTGTAATCCTCAATGTTGGAGGAGGGGCCTGGTGAAAACTGATTGGTTCATGGGGGCAGTTTCTCATGGTTTTGCACAATCCTTGGTGCTGTCATTGTGATAGTGATTTCTCTGGAGTTCTGGTTGTTTAAAAGTGTGTGGTTCCTGCTCTGGCCATGTAAGACATCCCTACTTCCCCTTCACCTTTCACCATGATTGTAAGATTCCTGAGGTCTCCAGAAGCCACTATGCTTCCCATATAGCCTGAAGAACCATGAGCCAATCAAACCTCCTTTCCTTATAAAGTACCCAGTCTCATGTATTTCTTCATAGTAATGTGAGAATGGACTAAAACAGAAAATTGGTACTGAGCAAAGGGACATTGCTATAAAGATATCTGAATATGTGGGAACAACTTTGGGACTGGGCAATGGGCTAAGGTTGGAAGAGTTTGGAGGGCTCAGAGGAAGACAGGAAGATGAGAGAAAACTTGAAACTACCTAGAGCCTTGTTAAACTGCTGTGACCAAAATGCTGATAGTGATATGGACAGTGAAGTCTAGGCTGAGGTGGACCCAGATGGAAATGAGGAATATATTAGGAACTGGAGTAAAGGTCACTTTTGCTATGCTTTAGCAAAGGGTTTAGCTGTTCTGTGCCCCTCTTCTAGAGATCTATGGAAATTTGAACTTGAAAGTGATGATTCAGGGTATCCGGTGGAAGAAATTTCTAACCAGTGAAGCACTTAAGAATTGACCTGGCTGCTTCTAACAACCTATACTCACATGTGTGAGCAAAGAAATGACCTGAAACTGGGACTTGTATTTAAAGGGGAAGTAGAGTGTCAAAGTTTGGAAAATTTGCAGCCTGGCCATGCAGTAGAAAAGAAAAACTCAGTTTCTGGAGAAGAATTCAAGATGGCTTCAGAAATTCACATAAGTAAAGAGGAGCCAAATGCTGATAGCCAGGGCAATGGAGGAAAGGCCTCAAAGGCATTTCAGAGAACTTCGCAGCCCCTTCAATCAAAAGCCCAGAAGCTTAGAAGGGAAGAATGTTATGGTGGTCCAGGCCCAGGGCCTCTCTGCCCTGCACATCCTCAGGACCCTGGTCCCTGCATTCTAGCCACTCCAGCTCCAGCCATGGGTCAAAGGAGCCCAGATACAGTTTGAGCTACTGCTTCAGAAGAGCAAGCTGTAAGTCTGTTTGGCTTCCACGTGGTGTTAGGCCTGGGGGAGGAGGGAACAGAATGCAAGAGTTAAGACTTGGGAGCCCCCATCTAGATTTCAGAGAGCATATGGAAAAGCATGGATGTCCATGCAGAAGCCTGCTTTGGGGGTGGAGTCCTCACAGAGAACCTCTATTAGAGTAGCACAGATGGAAAATATGGGTTTGGAGCTCTGACACAGAGTTCCCACTGGGGTACTGCCTAGTGCATCTGTGAGAATACGGCCATCACCCTCTAGACCCCAGAATGGTAGATCCACTGACAGCTTGCACCTTGCACCTGGTAAAGCCCCAGGCACTGAGCACCAGCCCTTGAGAGCAGCCATGAAGTTTAAACCCTGGAAAGCTACAGAGGCAGGGCTACCCAAAGCCATAGGAGCCCACCTCTTACACCAGTATGTCCTGGATGTCAGACAGAAAGTCAAGGAGATTATTTTGAAGCTTTCAGATTTAATGACTCTCCTGCTGGTTTTCAGACTTGCGTGGGGCCTGTAGCTCCTTTGTTTTGGTTGATTTCTCATTTTTGGAATGGGAGTATTTACCCAATGCCTGTACCTCCATTGTATCTTTGGAGTAACTAACTTGTTTTTTATTTTACAGACTCATAGGTGAATGGGACTAGCCTTTTCTTAAATGAGACTTTGGACTATGGACTTTTGAGTTACTTCTGGAATGAGTTAAAACTCTGGGGGACTGTTGGGAAGCCATAATTTTTTTTTTTTTTTTTTGAAATGGAGTCTTGCTCTGTCACCCAGGCTGGAGTGCAGTGGTGCAATCTTGGCTCACTGCAACTTCCACATCTTGGGTTCATGCAATTCTCATACCTCAGTCCCTTCAGTAGCTGGGATTACAAGCATGTGCCAGCATGTCTGGCTAATTTTTGTATTTTTAGTAGAGATAGCGTTTCACCATGTTGGCCAGGCTGGTCTTGAACTCCTGTTCTTAAGTGATCTTCCCACCTCGGCTTCCCAAAGTGCTGGGATTACAGGCATGAACCAAGACACCAAGCCTATGTTTTAGAATGTGAGAAGGACATGAGATTTGGTAGGGGCCAGGGCAAAATGATATGGCTAGTGTATTAGTTTGTTCTCATACTACTATAAAGAACTGTCCCAGACAGGGTAGTTTATAAAGGAAATAGGTTTAATTGACTCCCAGTTCAGCATGGCTTGGGAGGGCTGAAGAAACTTACAATTACGGCAGAAGGCACCTCTTCACAAGGCGGTGGTAGAGAGAATGAGAGCGAAGTTGGGAAAAGCCCCTTATGAAGCCATCAGATCTCATGAAAACTCACTCGCTATCATGAGAACAACATGGGGGGACTGCCCTCATGATATAATCACTTCCCACAGGTCTTTTTCCTAACATGTGGGGATTACAATTCCAGATGAGGTTTGGGTGGGGACACAGAGCCAGACCATATCAGTTACTATCTGTGTCCCCACCCAAATCTCATGTCAAATTGTAATCTTTCAGTGTTGGAGGAGGTGCCTGGTGGGAGGTAATTGAATCATGGGGGCAGTTTCTCATGTTTAACACCATCCCCCTTGGTGCTATCATTGCCAGTGAGTCTCTCCTGAGACCTGATTGTTTAAAAGTGTGTGGCTCCTGCTCCAGTCATGTGAGACATTCCTGCTTTCCTTTCACCTTCCACTATGATTGTAAGTTTCCTGAAGCTCCCCAGAAGCAGAAGCTGCTATGCTTCCTGTACAGCCTGCAGATCCATGAGCCAATTAAACCTCTTTTCTATACAAATTACCTGGTCTTGAGTAATTCTTTATTGCAGTGTGAGGATGAACTAATACACTAGTTATGTCTCCACTGAAGATTTGTGGTTGTCTACTAGATAGAAGAAAGCTAGTCCACTTTAGCTGCAGAGCTAACTGATAAGAAGACAGATCACTACTTAGGCAAAGAAAAAAATAAAGGAAACAAACAAAAACCAAAAAAACAAGAAATATGGATAATTGTCAGACAAGACAAAACAGTGCCTTGTCAAGAAATATGAAGAGTTTTTCTCGAGGAATCCCAAAATGATTTATTTGATCAACTAGTAACTGGCTCTGGAGCCCACAGAAAGTTCTAAGAGATCACTAGGAAGAGAATAGATGTGGAGAGGGAGAAAAGCCACTGGAGCTGGCCCAGAGAAGGATTTAGAAAATATAATATGGCAAAGTAAGCTAATATTTTATTATAGAAGTCCTGGTTTATTATTATTTTAAAAAATAGTGTAAATTCTAATACTAGGAGAAAAATCATCATTTAGAAATATGATTAATGTTAGAGAGTTAATCAGCTAATTGAGCAAAGATAAAAACTATAACTAGACTGGTTTTTAATTTAGACAATATGTTGGAAATTATTTGATTCCATTGTTGATTTTTAAAGCCTTTTAATTTTATTCCCTTTTTTCAAGCAACTGTCTAGGTGGAATACTCATATAATAGATAAAACAGCCCCGAGCCCATTTCAGGATGAAGTAGGGATTGTGGAGCCTCTTTTTCCAGTCTCCTTGGTGGTCTCTAAGTCACTACCTGGAGGGCTCCACAAGGCCATGTGTGCAAACCAGCCACTGTGACAAGGCTGGAATTTGAACACCTGGGGAAATGCTTTATTATACAACTGAGCTGCTATAAATGGTTTAGAAAGTATTTTTAAACTTATGAACATTATAATGTTCACATTTTTCTCTTTCATCCCATATAGGAAGTATTACAGGGTAATTTGAGAGTCTTTTCTTTGGATTAACTTAATTTCAAGGAATATTCATCCACTTAATTATTAACATTTGACGTGAGTTCTACTCTTTCAGAAGGACATTTTCTTATGACTAATCTCTCTTGTTATTGATTTTTAATCTCTACCAGATGAAGATTTTCTTGGCCTCCTGGCTCAGAATTTAGTACATTTCTATTTCCAGGGTTATATTATGTTTTACTGGCTGATGCACCTTAACATTCAGTGTATAACTGAGGATAACAGAGGACAGCTTCCTCATATTACCATTAAAATGATGCCAAATGCTACAACGTCTGTTCAAAGTGAATGTTGGATTAATAAACAAAGCCAAGATACAACCACAACATAAATCCTACTTTAGAACAATTACAAACTCATGCATTTATCCTTCCATCATAAAGTTCAAGCTTGTCAATATTATAAGTGTGATGGTTAGTTTTACCTGTCAACTTGACTGAATTCAGAAATACGTAGGGAATTGGTAAAGCATTACACTTAGGTGTGTCTGAGAAGGTGTTTCCAGGGAACATTGCAAAGATTGCAGTGTGATTCAGTGGACTAAGTGGGGAAAACTGCCTGCAGTGTGAGTGGATATCAAATTGGCTGGGGTCCAGGATAGAAGAGAAAAAGAGAGCAAAGTGTTTCCTTGTTCTTGCACTTGGAGCTAGGACACTCTACTCCTCCTGTTCTTGGACACTGGGACTCCAGGCTTTCTGTCCTTGGAACTCCAGGATTTACACCAGCAGCCTCCTGGGTTATCAAGCCTTTTCCCTCAGACTGAGAATTACAACATCAGCTTTTCTGGTTTTGAGGTGTCTCAACTCGGACTGAGCCAAGCTACCAGCATCCCAGGGTCTCCAGCCTGCAGATGTCCTGTTGTGGAACTCCTCAGCTTCCATCACCACAAGAGCAAATTTACCTAATATGTTCTCTTTCATATATCTATATCTATACTTTTATCTATGTATCCATTAATATCTATAGATGTCTATCTAATTATAGTGCAAGGAGATAGCATTATTTTCATTAAACAAGCACATATGTGATATCATGTAAAGTCATGTCATAAAAAGTTTGTGAATAAATATAACCCAAGCCAAGGAACACGTAATTGGCCAGATGGTTGTGATCTTCCTTCTGAGTGAATTCACAGTGTTGGCTTAGTACTAGATTATCTAACTACTTATGGATAGATAGACCCTATTGGTTCTGTCTCTCTGGGGAACCCTAATACAATAAGCTTGACCCCGCATGATACAATCCCTGCCTTCTCATTATTTCTCAATGCTCTTTCTTCAGTTGTCCAATTTCTCTTCATCCTTTAAAATACTACCTCAGGATGACTTTTCATGATGAAGTTAAGTAGCCTCATCTCTTTATTGCTTGTTTGCTAAATACGTTATCTTGCATTGTGTTGTATTATTACCATAAATATGCTTAGCCTCTACCAACTAGAATAATAACAAAGTCCAATATAGCATTTTTAATCTGTTCACAGAGGTGAACTCATTTAATCTTCACAGCTCCATGCAGTAGAATGATTATTATCATCATCTCCATTTTACTTATGAGCCAACTGAGAAGAAGTTACACAGTTGGGATTTGGATCCAGGCAGATTTCAAAGCTTATATAAAATATGTTCCCTCTCAATCTTGTAGGCTCCTTGAAAGCTTAGAGAATGTCTTGATACTTCAATACTTGCTGATCTGAACCCAAGTTAATATGGCACATACTATTTCCACTACTGATACTTCCACTAGACCTTTGTAGAGGTGTCTCATCAGGCATAGCCTTAGTTTCAAAAGGAAAAATAATAGTCTGGGACTGTAAAGCCTTCCATAAATTTAAATGGCAACACTGAAAATGAACACTGCATTCACTCAGAAAGAAGGTCACAGTCATCCTGCCAATTAGGTATTTCTTTGCTTGGATTATATTGCTTAACAAACTTTTTATGATTTTTTACATTATACTGCGTATGCACTTGTTTAATGAGAGTCATGATATCTCCTTGCACTTGGCTTTCTCACAGTGCTGCAGCTCAGGTAAATGGGGGAAAGGATTCTAGGATGTGAACTGACTTAGCAATGCTGTGCATGCTACTTTGCTGATTTCCCTTTGCCTGTTGGAGAACATTCACCTGGATTTATTTACCACTATAATCACTCAGAAAATATCTCCTGGGTTCTTGTGTATTCATAAGCAAGGGTTCTGAAGAAAACAAGACCATGGCTTGAGGGCATTTTCAGTGATGCCACAGATCAGCAAGTCATTCATTTTGTGCACACTGGTCACACAGTGTTTGTCACCAGCGTGATGCTACTGGTGATCAAAAGCTGTATACAGCAAAAATAATTAAAGTGAAGAAAGGCTTTAGCATGTAGAGAAAGGCACTAACCAAACTAGTGAGACCAAAAATACTTTTTCAAAATCCAATTGGTATGGAGTCCAACATCTAACAAAATGTGATTTTTGTGGAATGGCAGAGGTTTTCTACAGTGTTTTATTTCCTTGGTCATGAAGGCAAAACAATAGAAGAGAGAGTATACAAAAAGGATTCCAAAAGAAAAAAACAATGATTGAATGACTGTAAGAGAAGTCATTCCTTCTAAATATATGTCCTAGAGCTCTTGTCCCCAACATTTTTGCACCAGGAACCAATTTCATGGAAGGCAATTTTTTTCCACAGACTGGGGCAGGGGGATCGTTTGGGGATGATTCAAGTACATTACATTAATTTTGCACTGTATTTCTAATATTATTACATAGTAATAATAATGAAATAATTATACAACTCATCGTAATATTGAATCAGTGTGAACCCTGAGCTTGTTTTCCTGTAGCTAGATGGTCCCATCTGGGGCTGATGGGAGACAGTGACAGGTCATCAGGTATTAGATTCTCATAAGGAGCACAAAACCTAGATTGCTGATATGTGCACTTTACAATAGGGTTTGCCCTCCTATGAAGACCTAATGCCACCACTGATCTGACAAGAATCAGAACTCAGGTGGTAATGGGATCGATAGACTGTAAATATAGATGAAGTTTTGCTCACTGGCCCACCACTCATCTCCTCCTATGCGGCCTGGTTCCTAACAGGCCAGGGACCACTGCCTAGAGTATCTGATAACCAGGGTGGCACTTGATTTCTGATACTCAAGTCAGTGGAGTTTGCATGTACCACCAATTTTGTTGTCAAATATCTACTTTCAAACTTGTGCTTTTTCAACGTATCTGTAGGATGTCCACTAAAAGATTTCTCTACACTATGTATATCAAAGAATTTCTACATAATTTATAAGTCATTTTCCAAGAAGACACAGTGACTATAAGTCTCTGTGACTTAAGACTCTGTGTCTTCCAAGAAGACACAGTGACTATAAGTCTCAACTATAAGGCTCAACTATAGTTGAGATAGAAAAAAACTCTTCTCTAGACAAGTAGTTAAGATCCAAGGAGAAAATGACTTTGTCCTTATATTTTCAGTCCAGATTCCTGTTTTAAACTCTGTCCCCTACTTCTGCTTTATAGCTTTATTTGACTGTCTGACAAGTGCCTCAAAACTTAAAAAATTCCAAATGCAACTCAATCATTACTCCCTCCACAAAAACTTCTATTTGTAAAACAAACCTAGTGCTAATCATTTCAATCAATGCTAACATCTTCTACCTGCTGACCAAGTCAGAATGTCTTGGGATTCTGAGGGTGTGCTGAAGAATTGTGGGAAGTCACCAGGGAGAAGAGGACATGTGAAGGCACACAGGAAAAAAACGTACAGACATAAAAGGCAAACATTGAAATCTAACATAAAATATTGTCATGGCCACCTAATTCCTTCTTATTCTTCTTCTGACAATGTATCTATCACCAAACCCTGTATTTTCTATCCCTGACAGAGTCCTCAAATCTTTCCATTTCTCTTTCTTCAACTCTTTAGTCTAAACTACCATTATTTCTTCCATTTATTATTGCATTAGGCTCTCCGTTGATCTTCCAAATCTTCTCCTGTCTTTATACAATTCACCGGCTCACATTTGTAATCAGAGTAATTTTTGTTCATTGCAAATCTTATCACATTACTCTCCAAGTTAACATCTTTCATGAGTTTCCACTGTCCAGAAAAACAAACCTTTAAATTCTTAGTAAGGTACTGGCAAAGCCAACTAGCACCTAACTTTGATTCATTCTTGACCCTACTCTCTGGTTCTTAACTGGAAGGAAATTTTACACTCCGGGGAATATTTTATAATATTTGGAGACAATTTTGATTGTCATAAATGGTCAAGAGTATGCTACTGTTTTCTAGTAGGTAGAGACCAGGGATATTGCTAAACATTCTACAGTACATAGGACAGCCCCCTTCACAACAAAAGATTATCTGTCCCAAACATCAATAGAGTTAAGGCTGATAAATCCTACTATAACTTTGTCTCATGCCCCTCTTTCTTTTTACTGTTTTTTTTTTTTTTTGATATGGAGTCTCGCTCTGTTGCCCAGGCTGGAGTGCAGTGGTGCACTCTCAGCTCACTGCAACCTCCGCCTCCCAGGTTCAAGCGATTCTCCTGCCTCAACCTCCCTAGTAGCTGGGATTGCAGGTGCCCACAACCATGCCCGGCTATTTTTTTTTTCTTTTTGTATTTTTAGTAGAGATGGGATTTCACCATGTTGCCCAAGCTAGTTTCCAACTCCTGATCTCAAGTGATCCGCCCACCTCGGCCTCCCAAAATGCTAGGATTGCAGGGGTGAGCCATCATGCCTCATCTCTTTTTCCTTTTTTGATTTCAGTTATTCTCAGCTTCTTTCACATATATGAATTCACTATACTTAAATACAATTCAATCCTTGAATATGATAGTTCTTCTTTCTAGGATAATCTGTACATTGTCCCCTCTGACCTGTAACCCTTGACCTGATCAACTATCCCTCAATCTTACTTCTTAGCTTAGTAACTTAGAAAAGCTTTTCCTGAATTCTCATACTAGGCATATGAGATTTGTTCCTTTTGCCATAAGTTCTCATAGAATGCAGTATCTTCCCTCATAATTACAAAAATATTGTCAGCTTTTTCTACAATACTATCAATTCCTTGGATGTATGTCATATCTGTATCATTTATTTAAACTCTAGGGCCTAATATATTACAGTACCCTGCTCTTAGTACTCTTTCAATAGATATTTTTTGAATAGTCAATAAATTAATGACTTAATCTATAGGTAAACAAATGAATTAGAATACCTTTCATCAAGACTACAAAATTTTGGTAAACTTGATCTTGGCTTACATTACAACAGGGCTATATTGGAGTCAGTTGGCCTATAACTCTCATTACCACCATTTCTTTCCCAGTGTAGGGAACTGGATAATTAATCACATCTATGAACATCCTGTGGCTTCTTAGATTTTGGAAGTCTGATTTTAGGTACCGTCAATGTTAATGAAAATTTGAGAAGCCCGAATTCATCTTTGTCAGCATTTAGTAATGGTAAAGTTTCTAAGAAACCACAATCGAGTGTGAGGTGAAATCAAAGATAAACGAAAATTTTCTATCTTGGAATCAGAGTAAATGCTTCTGCCATTTTATGTGTTTCACCTAATGAAACATATTCCTTGTCTGGACCACATACAATGAGATTTTCAAATATCCATCCAACTATTATCTCAGTAAAACAGCAGGGTTGGATTATCTCTGCTTTTCTTGATGTGAATCTTATAGACATATTTTATATTTATCAGCTTCCTCTCTGTGGAGAAATATAACAAGAAAATCAATGAAACATTTTATAAAATTTCTTAGGGATGGAGAAATTTCTGCGACATTTAGGTGGCATTTAAATATCTCGATCACAAAAGGAAGTCCCATCTGGTTGAAATGAAAGGAAAGTGTCTGTCCTGTAGCTTTCCCAGACATAAATTTAGCTCACAAAGCCATTCATTCAAGCTACAGACAATAATACAATGATGCATTTTTGGACATATTCCATTATAATTTGGACAATCAGCAACCTTCCTAATATTGGTCACAAAAGCACTAAAATGGGAATGCCATCAGTTTCCTTCAAAAAGGGGACTTTTAATGGAACCACATAGGAAATGCCATGACTTGGACAAGTGCAAAGGAGAAATGTTCTCTTGGGCAAGAAAAGTTTGTTGTTGTCAAAAAATATTTATATTCTCCGCTTGCTGCAGAGAGCAAGAAGGCAACATGTAGTATAGATTTCTTTCAAATGTCTAGAACGAATTCAATTTAGAGTAGTTTTGAAGTCATCCGTATTAATTGGGCATGCTGGAGAAGAGAAATTGAGACCTCCTAGCATAGTCTGCACTATACACCGTCCGTCCATTTCTGGGGTATGTAAATAAGAACCAGAGCAGAGTTTAGGCAAAAACTCAAGTAAAGACAAAAAAAAAGTCTAAGCAATTAAAAAATGGATGAAGACAGATCAAAAACTGAGACTTCCTTTCATTAAAATACTTGCGGGTTATGGTTAGTTCCCCAACTGTAAAGAAAACTAAGAACCTTCTCTTTCGTATTTCATGACAGTTTGTGATATATCTCTATCAAACGATCATAAACAGTATGTACTACTCTTCATAAAACAAGGGCTTATTCTTAATTCATACCTTATTTTGATATATTCAAAAGATGTTGAAGAATCTCTTCAAGTTTATATAAATGCCTAGACCCAGCAAACGTTATTAGCATGTAGGCTCTGTGCTCAGAGTGAGCAGAGCCTACGTAATAAACAGTAACACATATCAGGCTCTACAAATCTAATTTGTATTAAATTACTTAATTGTTATAATAATTCTATAAGGAAATTACTATTATTATCTTCATTTCTCATCTGAGGAAGCAAAGGCAGAAAGAGATTAAATAACATGCCTAAGGTCACACAGCTAGTCGGGTATGGGGGCTGGGATTCAAACCATCTGAAATATATGTGGCTGAAAAATCTAATTGGCGGCTGGGCGAGGTGGCTCACGCCTGTAATCCCAGCACTTTGAGAGGCCGAGACGGGTGGATCACGAGGTCAGGAGATGGAGACCATCCTGGCCAACATGGTGAAACCCCGTCTCTACTAAAAATACAAAACTTAGCCTGGCGTGGTGGTGTGCGCCTGTAGTCCCAGCTACTCAGGAGGCTGAGGCAGGAGAATCGCTTGAGCCCGGGAGGCGGAGCTTGCAGTGAGCAGAGATCACGCCACTGCATTCCAGCCTGGGCGACAGAGCAAGACTCCGTCTCAAAAAAAAAAAAAAACTAATTTGCGACAAGCGTCTATATTTGTTCCTTGCTTTCTTCAGGAGAGTATTATTGTTTACAGCCTACTACACTAGAGCCTCACTACCACTGTAAGTGGCTTCTCAACTCTCTGACTCAAACTGGGAAAAGGATAGTGTCCAGACAAAAGTTTTCCTGGGGCCGAAGTCACAAACATATTCATGCACACATACATACAGAGGGGCTTTTAAAATACCATCATTTAGAGATCATTCCTTGGAATATAGGAAACAAACTATCCCCTTAAAACTATGGTGATGACACTGGTAAACCCAATATACCCACCCACCCAAGTAAAAGGAGATAAGTAATATGAAAACAAAAGTCAATTTTTTAAAAAAGTAGTTACAATATTCCATTAGCCAAGGTGATAATATCAGCACAGATAAGTAATGAGAATCTTTATTTTAAAAATCTTTATCTCAATACAAGTCCTTCAACTTGGCAAAGTATTTAAACAACAAAGCCTTAAAGATTAATATCTATAATATTTTTAAAGAAAGGAAATATTTTCCTAACACATCTTCTTTCCCTCAAGATCCTAGAAGATGGAGAAATAATATATCTACACTTCTGCATTCAATCAAATTTAAATTCCCCATGACTAACTTCCCCAAAATATTACTGGATAAATCATTCAGTGTTTCTCTTGAGGCATCAAGAAACAATATCATGGCTGTCACCCCTAGAATCAACAGCTAAGAAATGGCAGATGTAGATTGTAGAGACATGCAAATATATTTTGATGAATAGGGTACCCTAAACAGTAGCTGAAAAATGTAAAGTACTCTGCTCAACCATATATCAACTACATATTTTACATAGCCTAATCTTTCATTTATTCTCCTTAAAAAATACAGTGGTGTTGAAAAGGAAACAAGAATGTTAAGCAAAAATTGGTGGCTGATATAAAACAGAGTCACCTGACTTTGAGTGCCTTTTTTCTTACATGTAAAATGAAAGAAGATATTTCCATCCATTTGTTTATAAATTAAACAAACACATTGCATAGTATGATAATGAACTAGACCAGTGGTTTAAATACTATAATATGCATGCCAATCAGCCTGTAATACCATGAAATGCAGATTAGTTTTGAGATGGGGCTCAAAATTCTGCATTTCTAAGAGATGCTGCCACTGCTATTCTGTGGACCACCCTTTGAATAGCAAGAAATTAGACTAGAATTATCTGACTGAAATTTTCTTTTTTTTTTAAACCTTCATTATAACTTAAGGGGTACATTTGCAAGATGTGCAGGTTTATTCCACAGGTAAACTTGTGTCATGGGTGTTTATTCTATAGATTATTTCATCAACCCAGTATTAAGCCTCGTATCCATTAGTTATTTTTCCTGATCCTCTTCCTCCTCCTACCCTCTGCCCTCCAATGGTCCCCAGGGTGTGTTGTTCCCCTCTATATGTCTATGTGTTCTCATCATTTAGCTCCCACTTATAATTGAGAACATGCCATGTTTGGTTTTCTGTTCTGGTGTTAGTTTGCTAAGGATAATGGTCTCCAGCTCAATCCATGTCCTTGAGAAGGGCATAATCTTGTTCTTTTTTATGACTGCATAGTATTCCATGGTGTATCATGTACCACATTTTCTTTATCCAGTCTATTATTAGTGGGCATTTAGGTTGATTCCCTGTCTTTGCTGTTGTGAATAGTGCTGTAATGGACAAAAGCATACATATGTCTTTACAATAGAATGATTTATATTCCTTTGGGTATATACCCAGTAATAACATTGCTGGGTCAAATTTCTGTCCTTAGGTCTTTGAAGAATCACCACACTGTCTTCCACAATGGTTGAACTAATTTACGCACGACACAAACCAGCAGTGTATAAGCATTCCTTTTTCTCCAGAGCCTCTCCAGGAACCCTTCCTTACATCATGTACAAAAGTTAACTCAAAATGGATTAAAGACTTAAATGTAAAATCCAAACCTATATAAACTTTGGAAGACAACCTAGGCAATACCAGTCAGGACACAGGCATGGGCAAAGATTTCTGGATGAAGACTCCAAAAGCAATTGCAACAAAAGCAAAATCTGACAAATGGGATTTAATTAAACTAAAGAAACTATCAACAGAGTAAACAGACAACCTACAAGACGGGAGAAAATTTTTTGCAAACTATGCATCTGACAAAGGTCTAATATCCAGCATCTATAAGGAACTTAGACAAATTTACAAGAAAAAACAACCCCATTAAAAAGTGGGCAAAAGACATGAACAGACACTTCTCAAAGGAAGACATATATGTGGCTAATAAGTGTATGAAAAAAAGCCCAACATCCCTGATCATTAGAGAAATGCAAATCAAAATCACAATGAGATACCATTTCACACCATTCAGAATAGATATTATTAAAAAGTCCAACTGAAATTTCTATATTGATGAAAATGTTCTATTTCAGTTCTTCCCAATGTTGTAGTCATTAGTCATATGTGACTATGGAACATGTGAATGTAGCTAAGTGAGGAATTTTAAATTTAATTTTGTCATGGAAATTCAACTTTAAATAGGCACATGTTGCCAGTTGCTACTATACTGGACAATGTATTCTCATAAAGATGAGCAAGCTGACCATCTAATGGAGAATAACATATTTAATTGGATTATTGGGATGTGATATGTTCAATCCTATAACAGTACTATTGACAAAATAATATGGAAGCATAAGAAAAAAGTAAAGAAAGAAAGAAAGAAAAGAAAGGAAGGAAAGGAAGGAAGGAAGGTAGGAAGGAAGGAAAGAAGGAAGGAAGAAAGAGGAAAGGAAAGGGGAAAGGAAAGGAAGACAAGAAGGAAAGAAAGAAGGAAGGGAGAGAGGGAGAGAGAGAGAGAGAAGGAAAGAAAGAAAAAGAAAAGAAAGAAAGAAAGAAAGTAGGAAAGAGAAAGAAAGAAAAAAGAAAGAAAGAAAGAAAGAAAGAAAGAAAGAAAGAAAGAAAGAAAGAAAGAGAAAGAAAGAAAGAGAAAAAGAAAGAAAGAAAGACAGACAGACATGACATTTGAGCAGGTAATAGTTAAACATGCTGGTCTTTACTTCTCTAACTAGCAAATGCAATGGTCCTGTAGCCATGCAATAGAAGTAGGGTGAATGAGAGAGGAGAATGGCATTTGAATTTTGCCTTCTCAAGATCTGGATTAGTTGCCACGATCTCTCCAATATAGCAAAGAATTTACATCTAAATTACAATATTGCTACAATTTTATACGTTTAGTTAGAAGGACTAGATGAAGAGCTATGTCTGTATAAATTGGAGTATGATAAAAATTTGTGGGAGAATAGAATCATCAACTTTCATGGAGGGAAGTTGGTTGACACCCACTACTCACTGATCCTGAGGCAGAATAAGTGGCCATGATTGGTATAAAAAAAACTTCTGACTTAAAGACCACATCACATTATCACGACAACTCTGTTCTCACTGACACTTTTTTTTTTTTTTTTTTTTTTTTTTGAGACGCAATCTCGCTCTGTCACTCAGGCTGGAGTGCAGTGGTGCGATCTCGGCTCACTGCAACCTCCGTCTCCCAGGTTCAAGCGATTCTCCTGCCTCAGCCTCCTCTCACTGACACTTATTAATTAAACTCCAGCTGCACCTGCTTTTGAAGGAGAGAAGAGCAAGACAAGCAGGGGGAGGAGACCCAAGAGTTCTGTGTGGCTTGTTCATACTTCTCAGGATTCTTACCTAATGGGCTTAGTTTAGCATGAAAACAGTAACATTCAGTTTCATCACTATTGTCTTTTGAGATACATGCTTTTTTCCTCCTTGTACACATTACAGAAAGAATGGCCAGTCATTAAAATTTACACAGTTATGAGTCTATGGGTTTTTCTTCCGCTGAGTGACTGAAAGATACATTTATCTTCCTTTTTGTTTTTGTTGTTTTGTGTTTCAGTTAATAGGGGGGGAAAAGTACCTTATCATAACTATGGTAACAAAGATGGCTTTTTCTTTTTTATTTTCTTGTAGTTTGGTAATATTGGGGTTAAAAAAAGAAAGCTATAAAGAACATTTTTTTTTTTTTTTTTTTTTTTTTGAGACGGAGTCTCGCTCTGTCGCCCAGGCCGGACTGCGGACTGCAGTGGCGCAATCTCGGCTCACTGCAAGCTCCGCTTCCCGGGTTCACGCCATTCTCCTGCCTCAGCCTCCCGAGTAGCTGGGACTACAGGCGCCCGCCACCGCGCCCGGCTAATTTTTTGTATTTTTAGTAGAGACGGGGTTTCACCTTGTTAGCCAGGATGGTCTCGATCTCCTGACCTCATGATCCACCCGCCTCGGCCTCCCAAAGTGCTGGGATTACAGGCGTGAGCCACCGCGCCCGGCCTAAAGAACATTTTTAAAAAATTGACAAGTAGATGGATTGTAGAATAGATAGTATTCATTGTGTCACTTAAATATTTTGAACTTGAAAACTGTGCTGTTGTTAAGAGTCAAGGGGTAAAACAGCATGATAAATTTAACCTACTCTCAAGGTATTTAAAAATCAACTACATATATAATTTTTATTATAATAATTAATATACGTGTAAGCATTTATATACATTTTACACAGACCAACTATAAAACAAATTAGCAAAATGAGTAAAACTAGTGAATCTAGTTAAACTATATATGAAAGTTTTCCACATTATATTTGCAACATTTCTGTGAATTTGAAATTGTTTCAAAATAAAAATAAAGCCAAAGTGATATGATATAAAAGAAGTTTGATTCAGAAGGCTCTGGACATGGTGAAAAGAGTGAGTCCCACTGTGATTGGTGGAGTGGGGGAAAAAGTTGGTAAAGAAATGTCTGACTCATGAGTTTAAAAGGTGAAAAGTCCAAATCAAATACAGAAAGGATTGGGGCTGGGTCTGTGTAGTGGCTCACACCTGTAATCTCAACACTTTTGGAGGCCAAGGCTGGAGGATCACTTGAGCTCTGGAGTTTGAGACCAGTGTGGGCAACATAGCGAGACCGCATCTCCACTAAAAATAAAAAATATTAGCTGGGTGTGGTGGGACACATCTGCAGTCTCAGCTACTTGAGAAGCTGAGGATCACTTGAGTCATGGAGATCAAAGCTGCAATGGGCCATGATTACATCACTGCACTCCAGCTTAGGCAATAAGAGAACAAAAAAGAAAAAAAGACAGAGAGAGAGAGGGAGAGAAAGGACTGGGACTGAAGGCAGAGTTGAGAAAACTCTGGCGATATGATTTTATAATTTATGAATATAAAAACTACTAGCTCTGTATCTTTGCTGTTCCATCATAAAAAAACAAGAACAGTGATGAGAATTAGAGTATTTTCCACTAACCTTGAGAGCAGGGCTACACTGTAACAAATATCTGTATCTATATATCTGTGTATTTTATGTGGAAATATTTAATATTTTCTTTGAATCCTCCTGATCATATAGTACAAAAACAATCCGAATGAGAAAGCTGCCAATTTGTCAAAAAACATACTACTGTTGCAAAGGCAAAACCAATGACTACCTTCTTCAGTTTGGTGGATAATTAATAGCAACATCAGCTATAGTGATGGGGTGCCAGTTCTTCCCTGGGAACTCTAAGCATGCTTTGCATGACACTATGTATAGTTCCCATAACAACCCTCTGACATAGGGTACATTATTAAATTAATGTCATACCTGAACAAACATGTATTAGAAGACATTCGGTATTCCTCCCTCCAGGTCATCCTTCTAGTCTTTGGTACAAGTGGGATTCCAACACAAGCAGCTGTTGACGAAAACCACTGCCCTTGACCATGTCCATAAAAAGATGGAGAAGCTAAATCTCAGGGAATACCTACAAGTTTGCCAGACTCTTGATATAAACTGGATATTTATTATTAAACACCTGTGAAGCAGCTGTATTCCTGTTTTGTAGATGAGAAAACAGAAACTGAGAGTTTAATAACTTGCTGAAATAACAAAAGGCTGAATTTGGATTTACTCTCTTAACCGTCTGGTTCAAAAGCTCATGGGAATTCTTGCTCTGCCTGTTTTCCAATCACTTTTCAGAAAAACGTGCTTTTTAACTGGCATGCTTCATCCAGGATTTTAATTTCCCCCAGGGGTTTCCAAATTGAATCTAGTATCGGAGCATGGAACTATAACATTGCTTAACTGGTCATCTACTGCTGAGAGAAGGGCTCTGCAGGTACAAGTGGGTAATGATATATATATATATATATATATCTCATATATATGAGATATAAATGATATATATATATATATCTCATATATATGAGATATATATGATATATATAGTTTCTGTTTTAAAAAAATCGTGGTCTCTTTTGCAGAAGCTTATTTAGAAGCAAGCAAATATAATTCTGCTCCTCACTTACCACCCCATGAAATGCAGTGAATAGCACAAAGACAGACTTGAAAAATAGTGCCATGCTGGTCTCTTGTCTTTTAATGATGTCTCAATTGAATTTTCTCAGTGAGCAAATTAAAAGAGGATTTGCTAAGTGCCAATGCCTCTGACTCCTTGTGGGATTAAAAAACCCAGCTGAACTCTTTGTGCCTCTATGTGGATCAATGCTTGGGAGATTTTGCAAAGGTAACTGACCTCACAAGGCTTTTGATATGTTGCAGGACAGGATCCAGTACAGCTGGTTCCTCTATAGATATACTGGCTCCTGTAGTTTTTGCTCACAGGAGTAAAGCATTTTTTAAAAGTGAAGTTAGCAGCAATGACTCAAAGGCTCCCCAGCAACAATTATGCTGAGTAAGATGGAGATATTTTCTCATCATCATTTCAATTACAGTTCTTCCCTCTCACTCCCACGGTCCCAGCTCCACAATGAACTTGGTACTTTGGCTCTGAGTTATAAAGGTTAGTTGCAAAGGGAGTATGTCTTTTGTCTTTTGTTATAATATGGGCTCATTCTTGAAGTTACTCAGTCTAAGTTCATACAAAGCCAGAAATGGAACTCCTATGTTCAATCCCCTGAATTTCTTTGCTTCAGTCTGGAAAGTACTCCCTTCTTAGTAGAGGGGATAAAACAATCCAGTCATCAGCCAATAAAACTAAGCTTACTATGCCTTCTGAACAAATTTTGCTAATATGCATGGGTATGACTACGCTGAGCCTATGCACATTAGCAAATATATGTGGTCATTGATACTGCGGTTATTCTGCTTGGTTGAATCCCCTATGATCCAGCAATGAAGAGGTAATGCCTACTCAGGATTCAAGTACCTGTTCCAGTGCAAACAACCCAGCATTTGTTTTCCTTTCTTTTCTTTTCTTTTTTTTTTTTTTTTTTTTTGAGACAGAGTGTCGTTAGGTCGCCCAGGCTGGAGTGCAGTGGGGAGATCTCGGCCCACTGCAAGCTCCACCTCCCGGGTTCATGCCATTCTCCTGCCTCAGCCTCCCGAGTAGCTGGGACTACAGGTGCCTGCCACCACGCCCGGCTAATTCTGTTTTTGTATTTTTAGTAGAGACGGGGTTTCACCGTGTTAGCCAGGATGGTCGCGATCTCCTGACCTGGTGATTCGTGTGCCTTGGCCTCCTAAAGTGCTAGGATTACAGGCGTGAGCCACCGCGCCTGGCCTCATTTGTTTTCTTGATGGGTATTCACGACATACTGGCTGTTAAATATTTTGAACATATCACTCTTTTCTCTGCCACACCTTCCGTATAACCTATGCTGACTGATCATTTGTTTAAAGCCAGTTTTACCTTTTGACTTTAAGAGCCTCAAAGGACACACAATAAGCTCATTTATTTTTGATATCTTGAGCCTAGGACAGTTTCATGAAATATATGCATTGCTCATTAGACATTTTAAAGTTTGTCAGTAGTATCTTGAGTGCTTTTTTGAATGACTGTTCTGTGTCAGGCACTGTTCTAGGCACTTTAAAAATGTGAATCCTCAAACATCCTCCATGAAGTAGGTGCAAATGCTGTTCTCGTTTTTCAGATGAAAAAACTGCTGTTCACCATGGTTAAGGAAAATGCCTATATTCCCACTGCTAATAAGAGGCTAGGCTGGGAGTCAAAGCCAGGAACTCCCATTTTACAGCCCTCACTGACGTCTGTGTTCCACCGCAAAAAAATTAGAAAACAGTAAGAGTATGTCACTAGGTATTTATTCAGGAAGGATTTATACATAACATTCTGGTTAGAAGGGGAAGGCTTGAAGTTGATCTCACAATAAGGCTTACTATTTTTACTCAGTTGTTGTATTTATCTGGGTTGATTTTGTGGGTGGGGGAGATTTAATCTCCTCCCCCCAAAATATCTCTTGCTGCAGCTATAAGTTTTGCAGTGGTAGTTGTTTTCACACGTCAAAAATAATCAGAGAATCTTAGCATTTAATGTGTTTTAAAGGTACAGTCAGCCCTCCATATCCTTGCCTTCCCATCCACAGATTAAACCAACTGCAGTTTAAAAATATTCAGAAAAAAATAAAAAATAAAAAAATGCAGATAAAAACAATACATTATAACAACTCTTTCATAGTATTTATATTGTGTTAGGTATTATAAATAATCTAGAGATGATTTAAAGTATAAGGGAGGATGTGTGTAGGCTGTACTCAAATACTACACAATCTTATTTATATAAGGGGCTTGAGTATGCAGAGACTATAGTATCTGCAGGGTAAGAGGGTCTGGAACTAATCCCCCAAGGATACTGAGGGTGATTGTAATTTCTAGCTAGTCCAAATCACACACCTAACTTCCTTTTACAGTACTACAACTGGACCACTATCAGCACAGTAATAAAATCTATCAAAATATTTGAATAGTATGTCAAGTTTTATATATATATATATATATATATATATATATATATATATATATGAATATATGAGTATTCTTGACACATGTATAAGTCAAGTAATGATGCTGTTTGGTTCATAACATTTTGCTTTAAATAGTCACAACTATCCTACCTATGTGATAGTTATTATGCTTGGCCCCATTTTATATATGAGGAAATAGGCTTAGAAGTGTGCAACTTGCCCAAGTTCACAAAACTAAGCAGAACAGCTAGAATTCAAACTGAAAGAGTCTGAATCCAGACTCTGTGCATTAATCACTGGATCAGTGGTTCTCAATGCATAATTAATGGAACACTAGGGTTCCCCTAGATCCTCTTAGGGATCCCATGAGGTTAAAACTATATTCATAATGATACTAAGACATTCTTTGCCTTTTACATTGCGTTGACATTCTCAATGATGATATAATAGAGCAGTGGTAGATAAAACTGATGGTGCCTTAGCAGAAATCAAGAGAAGAACACAAACTAAATTAGCAGTCTCTGTATTTCAAATACATACACTGGTAGCAAAACAATGCCTTTTTTACTGCCGCAATGAAGGAGCAAAAAATGTCAATTTGATTAAAGTTTGACCTTTGAATATACATTTTTTTAAGTATTCTGTGTGATGAAATGTAAAAGAAGTGCTTTTTTTTATACAAGGAAGTACAAAGATTTTTTTCTGAAAAAAAATTGTACAGTTGATTTGTCAGATGGACTAGTTCCTGTTTTTTATGGAATACAATTTTTACTTTGATGAAATCATTGATATAGCAACTATGGTTTTTCAGAAATGGCTACCAACAGTCATTTTCTCAGAAAATAACAAAGTGAGTCTATTACAAAAAAAAAAAAAAGAAAATGGACATTATTTATCACTATGATAAAATGTGATCTTTCAAAGCAAAAAATCAGAATTGTGGAAGACTTGTATCCACCACAGTGAACCTGGCAGCTTCCCAATATGTAAAAAAAAAAAAAAAAAAAAAAAAATCTAATGAGTGACAGCATTAATAAATGTGATTTTTAATACTGTATAATAAAATTTGTCAACATTTAAACCTGTATAACTCAGTGAATCAATATTTTCCAAATGACTAATATATGATGTTATAAAATCAGGCATGAGTAAAAGATCAAAAGGCAAGTTAGGCTAATGCCTTATAATGTAACACAATGCTCCCCACCCTTTGTGGCATCAGGAGCCAGCTTCATGGAAGACAATTTTTCCACAGATCTGGGAGTGACTGTTGGTGGTAGTGGTTTCAGAATGATTCAAGCACATTACACTTATTTGTGCACTTTATTTCTATTATTACATTGTAATATATAATGAAATAATTATATAATTCACCAAAATGTAGAATCAGTGGGAGCCCTGGGCTTGTTTTCCTGCCACTAGACAGTCCCATCTGGGGGTGATGGGAGACAGTGACAGATCATCAGGCATTAGATTCTCATAAGGAGCATGGAACCAGAACCCAGATTCCTGGTATACACAGTTCACGATAGGGTTTGTGCTCCTTTGAGAATCTAATGCCCCTGCTGGTCCGACAGGAGGCAGAGCTCAGGCTGTAATGTGAGCGAGGGGAATTGGCTGTAAATACTGATGAAGCTTTGCTCTGCTTGCTTGCCTGCTGCTCACCTCCTGCTGTGCAACCCAGTTCCTAACAGGCCACCAACTGGTGCTGTGCAACCCAGTTCCTAAGAGGCCACCAACTGGTATAGGTCTATAGCCCAGGGGTTGGGGGTGCCTGATGTAAAAGATATGAAAATCTCATTGGTATGTTTTCATATTTCACATTGAAATTAACCTTTTAAAAACATCCACTTGTTCAGTTTTCACATATCACATATCCACAATTAACCGAAAAGGCAATTAAAATGTTGTCCTTCCCTTCAAATCACATATCTGTGTAATGGAAGACCATTTTCAGCATCTCAGATAAAAAACATATCCGAACTGACTGATGAGAATATATGAGAATTCAGGTCTCCTCTATTAAACTAGACAACTGTAAAATAATGCCACTCTTCCCACTAAATTTTATTGAAAATAAGTATTTTCATGAACTATGTTATTTATGTTAAGATATAATAGAATTACTATCATTATTTTAATATAAATTAATAACTTTTTAAATTTCTTACTTTCATTTTATTGACTGATATAAAAACAAAAGCATAAACAAAAGTGGTTTTTTTTTTTCGGATTCTCAGTATTTTTCTGAGAATGTAAAGGGCGGGATCTTAACATCAGCCATTCTGAGAACTGTTATATTTTCCTGACCCTTATCAGATAGGTTTTTATCTGTTTGGCTGAATATATCCAGTGATGAAGAATTCACTACCTCTTAAGAAACTTCATTACATTTTAAAACCAATGAAATTACGTTGTTTGATTTTTCCCCATTGATCCTGGTAACATGCTCTGAAGTCACAAAAAGGAAAGCTAATTCCTCTTTTTCAAGACAGACATTAAGAACTATAAGATTGCTACGACATTAATTTAAAATTAAACTATGGGTCTACTGTTTAGTATTCTCATTTAATATTTATTTCTCCATCTTCCTCATAACAATATTGAGCAATTTTGTCAAATGTCTCTCTGAAATCCTGACATACCATAGAAACCCTTTTATCCTGATCTGCCAGTACAGACAAGAACTTTAGATAAGAAGAATATTAAATAAGTGTGTCATTATGTTTTCCTTAGAGAAGTCTTCTTGGCTGCTGGAAATTACAATTTTCTGTCCTAACTGCTCACAAACGATCCATGACAAAGCTTGAATGAAATTTAACACACTTACTAGAGAACTATGGCAATTAAAATAAAATAATAATTTTAGTTGACTAAGTATTTATGAATCCAAGTTATTTTTTGTATATTTTCATTGCTTTTGTATACTTCATTTCATTTCATGTGCTTTGCAGTTGTACTGCAGCATCATCTTAAATGGGCTATTGAGGGAAATACTGACTTTGGAGATATCTTTTGTTCTACTTTCATTGAACTGTGCAATATTGGGCACATATAATTTTTTCTGTTTTTAAGTTTGCTTAATTATCAAATAAATGAACTTCAGTTAGATGATCTTAGAGGACCCCATGAAATTTATATTTGAACTGGCCCACACATAATATAGAATATATTTATGCTAATTTAAAAATTAAGAAAAGTTCTAGTGGAGTTATTGCTTGGTTCGTTCTTTAAAAAAACACCCGCTGAAGTCATCTGCTTATAACAAAACAGAAAATTAAAAATAAATGTTTTAATGAAAGGACACCTGCATTGAAACTTTTTAGGCACTCCTTTGATTGCTTTTTCACTTCCTTTTTGGCAGAGGAGACACAGTTAAAAATTTCAGGTTTGAATGTTTTTATCCCCTTCAGGGACTTTCTCAGTATTATTCCCATCTTTTTTTTTCCTTTTGACATCTAATATTTCTATTGCGAATATCAGACAGAAAAACATAGTGTTACACAAGTCACCAGAGACAAAAAGATAGAAAGTAATGACTTTACATTTTGGTTCATTTAACAGTGAATTCCTTGACAAGGAAGTGATACTAGAAACTTAGACAGCAACAGTGAGACAATGTAAAAGCATCATAGGAACATAACAATTTGAGGATGACAGGGTAGGAAGTCTTTGCACAAGCTGGGGAAGAAAGCTCAAAGTGATCTCAATAGCAAGAAACAATGAACCTTGGCACATTATAAAAGCTATTATCCCCTTGCTGTGGATAACGGGAACTGGATGGGGCATACTACTGTTACTTTCGGCTCCTTTTTGCTCTGACCCATTGGAATGTACTTTTTTTTTTTTTTTTAAGGAGTTCAATGTGTAGTGGAGTGTTACTCAATTTTTTTGAAAACTATTGATTTGCCATCCACACACTTTGGCGTGACACTTTGCATTTCAGAATTATGAAATCTTACCAATATCCAGGTGAGGTTCTTCTTTCATAAAATTCATGAGTGCGCCATGGAGCATTACTCAAATCCAAATAAATCCAAATCAATCACTCTTCTCTCAGCATTTCTATTACCTAAAAGTGAGGTGCAACATGATATCTGTGGCCAACTGGCAATTCAGACATTCCCCTGACGGAGAGTTGGCAATACTCTACCTAGAAGCATAAACACTGGCTGAACTGTAGCTAATGGGGGATGTGAAAGAAGTAGGAGCTTCACTCTGCTAGAGATGTGTTCATTTGCAATTAACATAGGGTGACGGTGATCCTTTCAGAATTTCTGGCTTGGAGGTTCACAATTTAGACTTGGACCTTGCTCCTACCCATAGTTGAAAACCCTGGTGATGTATGTTATATAATTTCCCCTACTACCAGAAATTCATCCAAATTGAGTTTTTCCCTAAACTGCATCTCTCTAAATTCTCATCCCAGAGGAAGCAAAAATTACATATTATGGCAACTAAATTTTCTACCTAATAATTATAAGTAATCTTTTAAAGCCAAAATATTAAGCCTTTTATCCCAACTTGGATGGGCTCTTTCCTTTACTCTCGCCGGTTTTTTCTTTACTGTCTCTTTAAGATTTCTCTCTCTATTTATACTTTTTTTTTAACTACTTCATCAACCTTTTCCCCCAATGACCTTTAATTCTTAAGCATCTTGTCCTTCCCCATTGTCCCCTCCACAATTTCTCTAATGTAATCAACAGGACCAGAAACTTGGCTCAACCATAAAATGTGACTTCTTTACACAGACACGCAGCAAAAATGGCCAGAGGTGAAATTCAGAGAGGACTGATACAGAATATACCTATGATTTGGAAGTCTTTGTTGTTGTCATTCTAACATTTCTCAAAAACATTCTAGAAACAACAACTTAATGTGTGTTTTTGAGAACTGAGTATTTTTTTCTCTTGATTGATTGTCAATGTTATATAAGCAGGTACACTAGGAATCAGAGTAACCAAGTGTGACTTTGCAGTTTGTGCCCAGCAAAATGTTTCTAAAAAATAAACCATGATGCATTGTCTGGTTTTGGGTCTTTGTGTCTGCAGAGCTATGTCATCCCAGAGGGAATACCTTGTTCTTATTCATATAAAAGTGCTTAAACAGGCTAGGGTACTCCTGCTGGGATATATAACAACTAATGATGCATTATGAACAACTGCTTACTAGATAGCTTCACTTTGCTACCTAATAGGCATCTCCAACAACATGGCTAAATCACCATGAAAATGGTGCTATTTTCCACCCATTTGCTCAAGCAAAGATCCTAGGAGATATCTTTCATCCTTTTCTTTTCCTTTCTAATCACGTCTAATCCATCAAAAGAGCTGGCAGTTCTAACTTCAAAACATATTTCCAAACTTTCTTCCCTTGATGTCTATTGCTATCTAATTTTAGATACCATATGTGTTTCTTATATGTTCTTATATGTAAGAAAAAAGACTAGGGAGTATCATATGTTGCTTCTTGTCTTTTTTCTTTCATATAAAAGCAGAATTCACCCAGCAGGTAGAATTATATTACAACTCAGCTTTCAAAAAGCTTAGGAGGCATCTCACTGCACTTGGAACAAATACCAAACCATTGGTCTGCAAGGCCCTTTCCATCAACTGGACCCAGCCTATATCTCCAAATTCATTTTTTAGTAACCTTTGTTTATCCCTGCTATGATTTGTACAACATACTGAATTTCTTGCCCAAAGAACACTGACTAAATCAAATGAAAGTCTACTCTAATATGAGTATTAGATATTTTTTGATACAGGATAGAAAGTCTAAGAAAACTTCACTTTTAAAATTAATTTATTACATAGTTCCACTGTTCATGAGATTTCCACAATAGGAATAATATTCTTTGTGTTCATGATTCTGAAGTATTCTTTGAAAATACAGGCAATGCTGTTGTTACAACAAAATAAAATAATTTGTAGTTACCAAATGAAATTTGTTTTCTTTATGTTAATGAGCATCAGAGGCATTAGGCAGATAAGAGAGGAATGACTGTGAGGCTGGGTAGCAGACTTACTTACTCTACACATGTGCTGACAATGGACCCTAATTTTCTCTGCTCTTGTCCCAGGCATGGTCCTAGCCCAGCAGTTCTCTTTGTGATTCTAGCTATTTTCAGGTTTTTCACTGCCTTAAAAAAAATAAAACTAATGAGAAAAAAATTGTCAAGGTTTTAGAAATACTCACTGATGGTTCTTATCTGTAGGCAAATATCAAGGAGCTAAAATCAACAGATAATGTGATGTGCTTTTGGAAGGAGATGAAATAATTATGTCTGACAAACAAAAGATAATTGATGGTACTATTCCTTGGATAGATAGGACCTGTAGTAGAGGTTGGCCACATGTGTCAGTCATTTTATGTTGCTATAAAGAAATACCTGAGGTTAAGTAATTTATAAAGGAAAGAGGTTTATTTGGCTCATGGTTCTGCAGAGTGTACAAGAAGCATGGTGCCAGCATCTGCTTCTGGTGCGGGCCTTAGGAAGCTTACACTTATGACAAATGGCAAAGGGGGAACAGGAGTGTCACATGGTCAGTGACAGAGCAAAAGAGGAGAGGGAGTACCAGACTTTTTAAAATGGCCAGCTCTCTCATAAACTAATAGAGCAATAACTCACTAATTACTGTGAGTACAGCACCAAACTATTCATGAGGGATCCGTCCCCATGAGCCAAACATATGCTACTAGGCCCCACCTCCAACACTGGAGATCAAACTTTTTTTCAACATTGGAGGGGATGAATATCCAAACTATATCACCCCAAGTGGGGTATAAAGTTCGGTGTTAGGCCTGCTGAGTTGCAGAGGCTTATGGTATATACATAAGTGAAGATATGCAACATAAAATTTTGATGTCAGGGTTTAGTTCTGCAATGATATCTGTGTGGATAATAGAGATTTGTGAATTATGAAAATATTAGGGATAGTTGAAAAACTGGAAGTTGAACAAATCAATAAATAAGAGAGTATATACTGTGAGAAGAAAAATAAGAGAGAGAAGAGATGAGGATACAAATGGAACTCCAGAGATTACCATTACCTATAATATGAGTGAAAAGAAGGAAAACTATAAGAGACAGTAAAGGGACATAACCACAGGAGAATGATGAGAGAGGCACTTCTGAAGCCAAAGGAAGAGAAAGTTTCCTGAGTTAGAGAGTAGCCAAAGATGTCAGATGTTGCAGAGACGTCAAAAGAGAAAATGACTCAATAGCTCCTTGAAGTGCATAAGTGATCTTTTTCAGAGCTCTTCCAGAGGATTAATAGGGATAGAAATCAGATTATCAATAAGGTGAAGAATGAAGGAAAGGTATGCAATTATTTTGAAAAAGTTAGTTGTGAAGAAAAGGTGATAGTTTGGGTTACATCTAGAGGTGGGCAAAGGGTCAATAAAGGAGTATTTTGTTTGTTTGTTTTTGTCTTTGTTTTTCATTAGGTAAAAGGAAGCAAGGTATGATTCCAAAAAAATAAGCAAGGAATGATGTGTAGGTCTGTAGCATGTAGGATGAGGAGAGCCTTCTAGATGAGAACAGGGAGGGCTGTTCCACTGTCACCAATGGTTATAAAGATTTACTAAGATGTGTTGTGAGATGTATATTAATATACAAACTTGCAGTTATTCACCTTCAAGGAGCCTTTTTAAGGTTTCTCACATCCTTACTAACCCTAACACAGGTTGGAGTAGGTGTTTCTTTGAGCTGTCCAAATAATCTGAATAAATATTGACTTAGTTTTCCATTAAACCATGATGACTGCTTTGAGAACATTACTCCTAGCATCGTAGCTGGGCATATAGAATGTTGACTGAAATAACTGATGAATTAATGATAAAGTATACTGCAGAAAAGAGAGGTCGAAAACCAGATTCAGGTTTTCTGAATTCAGGTTTCAATAAATTCTAAATTTATTGTTACTGTAAGAAACTAATTCTGAACCTAGTATTTGATACAAGGGAATTATAAACAAATATGTATATATTTTTTAAAAATATTAAAATTGATCTGCACATTCTGCACATGTATCCCAGAACTTAAAAAAAAAAAAAGGACATTCTTCCATGTAACCACAGTCTCACTCAGGAAATGTGACATTGGTGAAATATCATTATCTAATCTAGAGATGTTAGGATTAAAAAATTGTCACAATAATGCCATTCTAATATACAGTTCTAAATCTGGGATCTAATAAAAAATCTCAGACTGTAAAAAAAATTAAAATTGATACCCAACTTGACTGCACTTTATGGATTTATACATCTCTGGGGTTTTATTTTGTTATTTTCTCCATGCAATATAAGGATTTTCCTCTTTGGAGACAGGAAAATGGATTACATAATTATTCAAAGTCCTGATTAGGCCTATGACTCTATGATCTACTGATATGTCCTAATTCAACTGCTCCATGAACATACCCAATCACAAACTAGACACGCATTCAAATTCTATCAGCTTTCTGTATCATCTTTTTGGACAACAGTTTTGCTCCACTGACTAGCTCCCCAGGTCAAAATTCATCACCTGCTGCAGTAGAGGATTTCAGTAACAAAGGATTGCAGAAATGCCATTATAGCAGCCACATATAATGTACTGAGGAGAGATTTTTATACTTCTTTTGGATTTCTGGGGCGTTGTAATTTTCCCCAGCAACCCAACCCAAATGATTTGAAGAGATACTTAATATCTCCCTCCTTTCCCGCATCATCTATGTATGTATTAAATTCTTAAATGAGAGTGCCAACATGACATGAAGAATAAATGTGGTGACTCCAATTCCCCTCTCAGCTGGCAGGAGTTGCATCAATAAAATCACTTAAGGTATTCAGAAACATGTGGAGTTTTCCATAGGAGACTGCAGATCGATGAACACACAGAACATGTCCTTGTCACCCCTGCTGCGGTGCCTTTTCTTCTCAGCCTGATGACACGTCAATAAAGCTGTCTGAGTCTCTGGCCACTGTTACAGACTGTAAATGTCTCCTGGTATTAGTTTGCTGAACAGGATTCCCTGCACACCTCGCTCACACTGTGTCTAGCCCCCACCTCTGTAGAGATTTCTAACTCCTAAGCATGGCACACTTAAATTGAGATGGAAACTTTGACAAAGGTATCCACATTTTAAAAAAATTAAAACTCTACTACGGACAGTCTGTAATTTGTAGCATTTCCAAAATTATGTATTTCCAAAGTGATGGCAGAATTCTTTAAAAATAATTTCTAACATAAATTATTTGTTTTTGTCTTAGCTCAAATATTAATATGCAAAACCATTATTTAAAAACTAAGCTCTGCAAATTAAGTGCCTAAAACATGGGCTCTGATTCACTCTTTTTTCTTAAGGGAACAACCGTCCCATAGGATGGTGAAATAATAATTTAGTTAAGAATAAATCAAAAGTACTACATTTGCTACTCTATATTCAGATCAATATTTTTTTTAAATCAAAATATTGGCTAGAAACCTGCCATATGCTGGACACTATGTGAGTGAGAAAACACATGGCAACAAGCAATGAAAATATATCATGGCAAGTATCATTTACTTAGGTAAGCCTAAAGTTTTTTGGAAGCACAAAATAAGGAATACCCGAGTTTCCCTAGCAGAGCGTGAAAGGCATTGGAAAAGAGGTAACATTGGACCTGGTGCTTGAAAGATGAATAAGAGTTTCCTGTGACAGAAGGGAGAAAGGCAACAAAGAGGACGCTACATGCAGACACATCCAGCATGAAAATAATGTTACCTTCATGGAAATGCAAGCAGCATAGAATGGCTGGAGAACAAGGGTGAGAAAACATTAAGCTATGGAACAGAAAAGAGAAGGTTGTAAAAAACCTTGCATGCTAAAGAAAAAAACAATTAAAAAAATTATTCTGTAGGCTCATAGTTCCCATGCCTCGCTCATCATCAGAATAATTTGGTTGAGTATTTTAAAACAACAGATTATTTCATTACAATTACAAAGATTCTAATTAATAAGTGGGGCTTGAGTTCCAGGAATATATTTTGAAAAACTCCAGACATAATTGTGATACTCATTAGAGTTGACAGTCATCCCATGCGGAGAATGAAAAGATTTTGAAAGGCTTACAGGAAGGGAGAAAATATGTTATAATCCATGTTTAATTATTATCAATTCTCTAGGTAAGTAAATAAACAAAATGCCTATTAGAATAGAGGTCACAAATATGTGGCCCATAGATTGGTTTTACTGGATGTACACAGAATCGGTATATTCTCTCTGCATGGGCATGTGTGTGTATGTGTGTGCTTGTATATGTTTATTAATTAGTTACCTCTACTTCATAATGTAAAAATTTTACATAATAAAATTATTTTCCTAGTTCCCTTGTGAAGTTAGGTCTTATGACAACACTGGGCCTATTGATCGACATGGCAACAATTGGCTGGAGCACCCTATGGATTGGACATGCATCCTACTGGCTGCTCAGCCCTCACTGTTGCCAGTTTTACTTTAACTTGCTTTACTCATTCGTCTCCCCGACTGGCCAGCGTAGGCATTTGAGATTGTAATGAATGGGTAGTGGATATTATATTTAAAATGGACAGTACTAATCTTGTCTATAATTTAGTAAGCCTACTTTTGGCAGAGAGAAGATAAGTCGAAATGTGCCAAAGTCCCATAGTGCATTGAGATGTTTATTTTGGAATTTTGAAAAAATAGTATATTGGAGAAATAGGGAAAATTAACATTTATTGAGCAATTACTCTGTGCCAAGGACTGTGCTAAAAGATTTAAATATATGCCATCAGTTAATCAGCGTAGTAATCTAAAAGTATAGAAAAATAAATTATATGAAAGACAGAGTTATTTTATTGCTAAATTTACAGTAGTTGGTATAATACCTGGTACAAAGGAGGTGCCCAATTAATATTTTTGACTGATTAAAAAAAAGATAAATCACAATTGGTAATATTGACACTCTGAGGTGCTACAAAGATCATATAGGTACCACAATTTTTAACTAGAATTGACCTATCTCTTGGCCTTCAAAACCTGGGAGTCTCCAGTGTCCAGTATCGGTTTCCCCTTTTCAGTGAAGGATTCCTCAGAAAAATGAATCATGTCTTAAGATCGAGCAAGAAGGAGACCATTGCCATAAATCAGTTAAATTTCTAACCAAATCCTTTTGTGCAATATCTTGTTCTCTCTTCTTTCAGTCTACATAAATAAACATCTTATCTTCTTAAGACATGCAAATAAGGGAGTTGGTGACAAGTGAAGTTAATAGAGAAACATGATAGAGTTCCAGACTATCAGGATCCCTGTGAGACCACATTTGAAAGTCTCTGAACATGGCATACTCTTCTCAGCCTGTCTTAAATCTGGTCTGTTTTGTCTGACAAGCTAAGAGAACTCTACATAATTAAAAAAAAAAATCCACCCACATTGCAAATATCTGCTGAATTTTAACGCAACCCTTAGTTGACCCAAGATATTAATCAAGTGAAATTAAATTTCTGGAAAAGACCTCGTTTATTGATGAGATGATTTAGCATAGCTTAGCTTGGCTACTCTTCACCTTGAACATGGATTAGGCAATGCCCTATTTGAATCTCATTCCAAGGTTCAAAACTTTCAGGTCAATGGGCTCAGCTTTCTTCTGATGGTCTGTGACATTTTTTTTTTTTTTTGTACCATCCAGGATTCCTACCGACACTGTAGATATTTATGTTACTGAGATAAATTGTCCTTTACTAAACATGTGGTTACATTAAACGAGGGAGTCAGGCAACTGCCTAGATTTATTTAGGGAGTTTTTTTCCTCTTTATTTTAGTTTTTCCATAATCAGAAAGCATTTGTACAAATTCTTGGAAGGGCAGTGGAGATTTACCTTAATTCTTCTTCGAAACCCCTTTTTTGTATATGCTGAAGTTAAATATTAAAGACAAATAATTTAACAGTTGTTATCCAATAAACAATTTCAATTTAAGTAACAGACCTCTGATGGAGTCTCATGGAGTAAAGAGGACTATGCATGTAAGCAATCCATAAACTTATATTGAGAAGTGACTAATTTGGTGGTCCCTACCTTGCCAATGGTTTTTTGTTTTAATAAACTTAAGGCCATTGTGTTAACATAGGTTGACACAGAGCTCTCTGAGTGTTGTTCTCAAATTACCCATCATCCATCTTGCCATTGGATCCACATCCTTCTGCTGAGCAGCTCCTATTAAAATTAGAGCAAATCTCAAGGGAAGCCAGGTTTCTAAGAAGAGGCTGTGTTTCTGGGCAGTCATCAGACAGCATCATATGTCCCACACTTGTATCTCTGTTTTTGCTACCAACTTTATCAAGAGCTTCTCATTACATGGTAGGTAGTGAGAAAGAGCTAAAAATCACCAAATTAAGGCCAGAATTACAAATAATGGCATTGTATTTTATTCATGCTGAGCAATTTAACAATTTAGTAGTTTTGAGTAGTAGCATGCCTTAATATTTCAGTGCATGGATAAGTGATTTATGTTCAAAGTAAGCCTCATGACCATCTAGCATCACAGAAGAAAAGTAGAAAGTCAATATGCAGTGTGTATGACAGCCACATGGTAGTATGGAGAAATGCTCAGGATATGTGTTAAGTGAAAAAAGCAGAAGATAAAGCATACGCCTTTGATGGTTATACCTTTTAAAATATGCATAGAAAAACAAATGCAAGGTGGTACTTTAAAATATTCATTTGAAATGTTACATTGTAGTTATGTATAATGTATTCTGTTATACATTATACATGTGTAATATTTATGTTACATTATAGTTATGTATGTGTATAGTTATCATAGTTAAATATATTACTTCTCCGATGAAAACATTGAAAAGTGACAAATATAAAACAAAACAATATGCAAAAGATGATTATTTTGCCAATGAAGTTGTAATTTTTAACATGAGAACTGTAAACTAAATAAAAGCACCATTATACAAGTTAAAAAGTAAAATACAGTTCTGAAAAAATGTTTTCTTGATATTTCTTTAATTTTTAAATACCATTTTTTCAAAGGGAGTAATCATAATTCAATTTAATGAAAGCAAAAATGTCTATATGTAAAGTAAAGCAAGATCTTGGTTGAAGGAAAAAGGAAAAATACAAGACAGACATGGAGGCAGGTATGACTATAATTCAAATAACATACTAAATGTTAACAAGATAGTATTCATATAAAGAAAGGGAAATAAAGGACATTCAGACTTTGCCTCTTTTGGAAATGCTACATTCACAGATACCTTGGGGAATACGGTATGGAGGCTACAACAAGGTTATTTGAGATCCATTTGAGATTATGTCAACCGACAATTATGCTGAGGGATTGACAAGATAAAAAGGCACTATTTTTTCCCATATCCAATTCCTCTGATATGCTTCACTAAATGCATAAAGACAGAGACAAAACATGAAGGAAAAATATTTATACATTTTTAGGTTTGTGAATAGTTTCAAGGGAGAGAAGAGACATCATGAGGTCATCTGGTATGCCTTCATAAATACTTTAGAGTATTATTCACTGTGCACAATTTGCAGTGCCCTTGGCAATCCAAATACATTTCCTTTCTTTTGCTGAAGACCAAGCAGGTCTGCCTGGCTCTGAGGGGTACCTTACATCAGGGTGTTTTATGCATGAGATTCCTGATTGAAAAGAGCCAATAGAATAAAGCTGAGCAGAATCCTTGAAAGAGTGAGAACTCCAAAGGTCACATTCCAAAGTCTAGTGAATAAAGAAAGAGTGTGCTTATGGGCAGAAAATGGGGACAAGTGTCAAGGACAAAGAGAAGACAAAACGGCCCAGTGGATAGAAAACAGGAAGTTTTCTTTGAGAGGCTATGGTTACAAAGAGGCATGAACACCCCATTGTTCACTTCTATTGTCAATAGGCCTGTGGTAGGTTGGCACATCAGACTAGCTAAAAAATACATTAGGGAGGGAACTTGTCACATTTAGCAATGTCCTCTTTTCAATGTCCTCAAGACTTACTCCCGGTCTTAGGCAGTTTCAAATTCATAGCAAGCAATGTTACAAGCATCAAATTTAATGGCCCCTGTATCTGTTGCTAGTTTTCATTATGACCTGCCTTCCATCTTTCCTGAACTTTTGCTATAACAAGACCATCTGTCTTTTTTTGGTTGGTAGGAAGTACATCAACATTATCAGCATCCATCTTTTTCCCTCTGCCCTGTCACACCACCATGCCAGAGATACATGAGAAAGGGTTAAAATTTCTACAAAAATGCATGATTCCTAAAATAGGCTAAAAGAATAAAAATGCTACCATCTAACACATTAGATTGATTGCCTTAAATGTAAAAATTTACGTATGTAACTATCTCTTTTCTTAGATGATATATTCTTCTAGAGAATGCTCTATGCTTTATTCAATTTCACATCACCATGACCTACATAGCACAGTAGTTGACTTATTGTAGGTAAACAATGAGTGAATGGATGAATGCATCAGTGTTCATTCACATAAATTACTTTGTGTATTTCTTGACAAAATAAAGCAGAGGGGGCACATGTTCTCAGGACCTCCTGAGGCTGTGTCACAGAAAAAAAAAATTAAACAGAGAATTAAATGTATGAATTTTGAAGCCCCGGAGGTATACACTACCAATGGCTCTTATTAAAATCACGTGGCATTTTAACCATGCAATCCTAACTATCATGGATGCTAAAAGATGGTTAGAAAACAGAAAAAAATGCTGGGAAAATCAGCTTAGTTCTTCAGTTTTTCTGTTGTTGTTTTTATAACTTTCATTATTATTATTATAATTATTACAGAATTCAGGATTCTATAGTCAGTCAGATAACATGAAACCACTTAAAATGAGTGTTAGAAATCTGGCTGGCACCTCCCTCCCCCTGATGTGATGTTTGTATTTATAGATTCACATGCACATCATATGCCTACTGATATGGTTTGGACATTTATCCCCTCCAAATCTCATGTTGAAATGTAATCCCCAGTGTTGGAAGTGGGGCCTGGTGGGAGGTGTTTGAAGCATGGGGGCAGATGCCTCATGAAGTACCCTCCCTTCAGTAACAAGTTCATGCAAGATCTGGTTGTTTAAAAAGGAGCCGCCCCTGGCTGGGCGTGATGGCTCATGCCTATAATCCCAGCACTTTGGGAGGCCAAGGTGGGTGGATCGCTTAAGATCAGGAGTTTGAGACCAGCCTGAGCAACATAGTGACACCCAGTCTCTACTAAAAATACAAAAATTAGCCGGGCGTGGTGGCACATGCCTGTAATCCCAGCTGCTCGGGAGGCTGAGGCAAGAGAATTGCTTGAACCCGGGAGGTGGAGGTTGCAGTGAGCCGATATCATGCCACTGCACTCCAGCCTGGGTGACAGAGTGAGACTCCATCTCAAAAATAAAAATAAAAATAAAAAAAGCTGCCCCTGGCGCCTCTCACTCTCTGTCTTGCTCTCTCTCTCTCGCAATGTGACCTGCTGGCTTCCCTTTGCCTCCTGCCATTATTGCAAGTTTCCTGAGGCCCTCACTAGAAGCAGATATTTGTACTATATTTAGTGTACAGCCTGCAGAAGAACTAGCCAAATAAACTTTTTAAAATAAATTGCCCAGTCTCAAGTATTCCTTTATGGCAACACAAACAGACTAACACAGATACATTTCCTAGTGTGAGAGAAAACACTTCTTAATAATGTTTCCTGGTCCCTTCAGGTACAGAGTAGAGACTGGACTGTGAAATTTCCTCCCTCCCTCCCTTTCTCCCTTCCTCCCTTCCTCTCTTCCTTCCTTCCTTCTCAGTTATTTAAAGTAAACTAGTCACACAATTTTATATCTTAGCCAGAAAATTTTGAAAAACAATTAGAAGAAGAATTTTCAACATATGTTTCACACACAAAAAAATGCTTTAAGCATTCTGCAAAATTTAGTGGTGTTGACATATTTGGTTTTTATGCATCCATGAAAGCTATGACTGAGTGTGTCATTCATAATCCCAATGTGAGTTTACTTTTTCACTCATTCAAACAGCTACATTCTTCTGATTGCTTCAGTTTTAAATTAAGTAATTGCTGTAACATTTATTTTATAAGAAGACAGCTTTATAAATCACTAATCTAAAGCTAGTTAGTAAGATAATTTGAGCTGGCTGTCAGAGTTGCAGAGTCTTACCCCAGTGCTGTGGCAACCACATAATTTGGCCATTTCACAAAGTTAGGAATACATCTCTCATCTATTCATCTCTATTGGCCACTCCCCAATTAGCTACCATAATTCATTAGCATGTTTAACTTTCAAGCAGATGTCATTTGAAAAGGACACAGAGGACAGAGCCTCTAGTGATGACTAGGCCTTCATTTTCTTTATAATCTTACATATTTGTCTAGCTTAGTGTGTATTTCAGTTCTCCATCAGAATAATGGCAAATAGAAATATTGTCCCATGTAACAAGACAATAAAGGAAAAGGAGAAAGAAGAGGCAGAGAAAAAGAAGGGGGAAAAGTAGAAAGACCAAAAGAGAGAGACTAGAGAAAGAAAAAGCTTCAAGGATTAAATAACACTGGAAATTCTTTGTATTTTGCAATGTCTTATATTCAATGTTATCAAACCTACCTAACATGCACAAATTCATATTTTCACAGTATTTAACATCCAGAATAGTGTTTTTATATTTATTCATAGATTTCTTCTTAAAGAAATCCTCAAAGGTAAGAAAAAGATTGTGATTTTTCATCTTACAAGGTAGAAACGAAAGCATATGATTAAATGATTGCCCCAAAGGCACTGAGCAAATCAGTAGAATGAGAGCTGAATATATTAACTCCTACCACTTTCATAACTTCATCTCTAGTGTTGTCATTTTGAATAGATGACTATGATCACATTAGTCACAAACTTACATTTAAAAATATGTTTCAAAAACCCTGTTGCCAAAAAATGCAAAAGTTCAAAAACAAGTAAAAATCTAGAAAATATTTATATTACGTTCCATCGAGAGAGAATCAAAAATCTAGAAAAAAACAATAGCTCAATGGAAAAATAGGCAAAGGATAAACAGGCAGTTTAATTTACAGAAAAGGACATTGAAATAGCTTAAAACCATATGAATAGATGCTCAAACTCACTAATTATTCTGTAAAATGCAAATTAAACAACAAAAATGCTTTCTTTTTTTTTTAAACTTTTCAGATTGCCAAGGATTATACAATTTGGCAAGAATGTGAGGAAACAGACATTTTTATATATTGTTCTGGAGAGTATTTGGCAATATCTATCAAAATTTTAATGCACATATGTTTGAATGTAGCAATACCACTTCTAGGAATTTCTCCTATAGATGAACACCCACACATATGCAGAGATATATGTACAAAGATGACCGTGGTAGCCAAGTAAGTGTCCATCAGCAGAATACAAGGCAAATCCATGATGTCATTGAACAGGTGATGTATAATGGTGATATTGTTTTTAAAAAGGCTTTCTAAATAGATTTTTAAAAATGTAGAACATTATTTAGCCATTGTCACCATTTTGTGTAAAAACAAAATATTTAACCCATCTATGTGTTGATTACTCTGAAATTTAGACATCTAGTCATAATCTCTTCCTGAACTCAAGGTTCATATCCAACTTAATACAGCTATTACAGAATGCTTAGTGTCTGTCCGCCTACTTCCCAAAGCCTACTCTGATGATGACTTTCTGGTTCCAATAATTAGCAGCACTATCCATCTTGTTACTTAAATCCAATCTCCATCTTATTCTTTCATATTCCATTTTCTTTCATATCCCAGTATTCCATATTCTTCCATTTTCTTTCGTATTCCAATATTCCATATTCTTTCATACTTCATTTCCAATCAATTAGCAAGTACTATTGCCAAAACATACCTAAGAGTAGCCCACTTGAGTGTCTTTTCAGTAATCATACCCAATTCCAAGCCACCAGCCTCTTCCCTAGACTTTTGCCTCAAATGCTTTTCTTCTTCTTTGCTTTCTCTACAATCCATACCACATACAACAGGTAAAGTGATGTTTTTAGACATAAATGTTACTTCTTGCCTAAAATCCTCTAACATTGTTCCATTACATTTAGAACCACCCTAACTCTTTAACTGGCCTACAAAACCCTACATTATCTGTCCCCCGTCTCTCTGACTTTAACGCCTACCACTCTTCCTTGCAAGTTCATAGAAAATTTGCTACAGGGTACACAGTAATCTGGTAACAGATTGATACTAAAGAGAGCTAGTTCGATTTGTTGAATTTTCAGAATTTACAGCCCATACTGATTCCATCATGGTCCACTCACTCACACTTGTATTCTGCAGACCTCCTTCTCAGTTTTAACTGCTGTTCTCAGGTTGGCCCACCATGTTTCCAAAGAGTCTTTTGTGATGAGTTTGAGTGGTTTTCCTAATCTCAGCACCATTAACAGATATGCTATTATCATCCTTTCCTTCCTCCCACCTTGAAGACACCACAGAGGTTTTGTATCTGCCAGTGGTTTACTTATACCAACTTGTATTTAGGATTTGGAGTCTAGTTTGTCACTTAGTTGGGTGGTAAATTTTCTTAAGTATTGGGTTTTTCTGCCCTAGTTCCTTTTTATTTTATTTTTAATTGGAGGCATTAAGATTCAAAAACTCCTTTATGGCTCCCCCATCATTTCCAAATCCTCTTCACAGTAACCTCAGGATACTAATTCTGGGTATGATTTGCCTTTTTAATGATATAAATTATGCATTTGTGTCTTCTTCAATTGAACTATTTTTAAAAAGGGGAAAATCTCAACAGAAAGTAGAATTTAAAAATTTATATGAAAGATAACGCCAACTTTTAAAGACATTGAAAGAAAGAAAAATGGTATAGCCAAATAGCAAGAGAAGAATTCTTTTTAAATTTATCTGATTTAGATAGATATTTGGAAAGCTAAATAGCTTCTTTGTTTTGATCACACACACATATTTTCTGATATATGTAGTAAATTTGACATTGTTTTGAATATATTTATTCAAAATGTTTAAAACATATATATTTTGAATATATATATATGTTTTGAATATATATATCCAAAACAATGTGTGTAAATTTTTCGAGTATCATTATCTAGTAAAATTAGGGAAGAAGTTAAAGAAAGAATTCTCTAAACATATTGGATCTGAGATGGTAACTAAATGCTGAAAAGAAGACTGACAGCGAATGAAGCAAGAATGGATTAGAGACACTGATGTTTTGTTCGAAGAAAACAAAATTAGGAGCAAGAGGTTGTGAGCTTTGCTCTCCCATTAACAGTTGTGTAGCCACAGGCAAATCATATAGCCTATTGAGGTTATAGTTCTCATGTATAAATTGACAAATTCAAGAAAAAAAAATCAGAGAATCTGGGTGCCTGCAGAAGCCTCAGTCAGACCCTCAGGCATGCTTAGTTTAGCTATCATAAAACAAGCTGAATCACTTACATATATTTTGCATAAAATACATAGTTTCTCTTTAAAAAATCAGAAAGTTTCAGATCAGAGCCATAGACTATAACTGGGTGACTACTACCCTTTTGGAGAGGCTACACATTTTCCAGTTTATCTCTATTATGGGTTGAATTGTGTTCCCCCAAAAAAGATATGTTGAAGTAGTCCTAATCCCCAGGACTTCAAAATGTGAATTTGTATAGAAATAAGGTTTTAACAAACGTAATCAATTTATAATGAGGCCATTAGGGTGGACTCTAATTCACTAAGTGGTGTCTAAATAAAAAGGGGGGAATTTTGACACAGAGACAGAAATGCAAAGAGGCAAGATGATGTGAAGACACAGAGGGAGAAAGTCATGTGACTATAAGACAAAGAATGCCAAAAATTGTCAGCAAACACCAGAAGCTAGAAGAGTCAAGGAAGGATGTTCCCCAAAGCTGTCAGAGAAAGCATGGCCCTAATGACACGTGATTACAGACTTCTAACCTCCAGAAACTTGAAATAACACATTTATGTTATTTTAAGCCACCCAGTATTTGGTACTTTGTTATAGCAGCTCTAGGAAATTAACACAATTCCAATATCCAGTTGATACTTGTTAGTCACCTTTGCTGCCTTTCTAGGCCATGCAGTCTTTTGAGTACTTTGTTTTTTAAATTAAATGAATTTTATGATGTCATCTTGCTTTCATAATTCGCGTTTTCTGTTTAGATTAAAAAAATCATTTTAAAACATAGCATCTTAAAATAAGCAGTGAAAATATACCAGGCATTCAAATGCTGAACTGAGAATACTTTTATACACAGGCAAAGCCCTTGGATAATTTTGTGTAAATAGAGCAAGAAAGTGGAGTTGACTTGGCAACAAAGGATGTAGCCAGAAGGATAACATGCTGTGAAACAATGCTGTGCCTGAGAAGTTCTCCAAAAGAGGCTTAACTACTGCTTTATAAGGTCCTATGTTGGCCATACTGTGGCTCAGTCTAGGCTAAGCAAGTGAAATCATATTTTTGAGAGAGATTAGAAAGTAAATAAATGGTGGCAACTTCCTTAAGAGTTGAGTCCTCCACTGAGAATCAGGACTTTCCTGCCCCATTGCTATCAGCACATGGCTATGTCTGTGGCTGCTACCTGTGCAGGAATCCAGTGAACATATTGCAAATTCAGTAACAGGTTGACTCTTGGAAATGAAACATAAACTTGCCAAATGAGTCTTGGATGCTCTTACTTTGTCAGATGTAAGGATTGAAAATATTGGAGCCCAAAGGAAGGTCTCATAAAAATAACATAAAATGGACAATTAGAAGTCTAATGTTTCAGCCCTCTGTCTGGCTGTTACTGGCTTGAACAAGTCATTTGACCTCTTTGGGTATATACACTATAAGAGTAACTACATTTTATAAACTATAACTACAATTTACATCGCTCCTATTCCATAGATATCCAACCAGAGGAAATATCTGAAGTTGAATTGTAAACTATATAACATGATATACAACAAATTTTTATTAATGTTGCTGTTGTTTTCATGATCATCACCATCATCATCATTATCACTACTACTTCATAGATATTTACCTAATGGGGGCTAACACCATTATTCACTATAATGTTATTTTTTTCAAGTTAATCTGAAACTCCAAGATTAGGCTTTCTTCAGATATGAATAAAAATGGATCAAATATATAGTACATCTTCTGCTAATGGTCAGCTAAATATGAATACTAATTGTTCTAGTGTTTTGTAGCTGGTTGGGTCTTTCAATCCAATGAAAATTATTAAAATGGATTCTGCAACTTTTATTCTACTTTATTTTCTGTTTTTGTTATTTGCACTATAAAGTAAATAAAATCGTGTTAGTTTGAAAAGATAAAACAGTACTTGCTCTTAACCTGCCCTTTAACAAAGGGTGTATGGTTATTATAGAAATATTATGCAACATGGGTACATTTCTAGTGTCTCAGGGCAACTGGCCACGTACTCCAAATTGCCCCCTGAGACATAGTGAGTGAAGTAATGGTTATGGAGTCACTAAGCCCGGGTTTCTATCTAGACTCCATCATTTACAAGCTATGTAGCCTTTGTGGGTCATTAATTCCTGAAAATCTCTAGTTTGCACTTAAAATTAAAAAAAAAATCATTCTATGTTATATATTATATTATATTATATTATATTATGTTACATGTATTTTTGAGATGGAGTCTTACTCTGTCACCCAGGCTGGAGTGCAGTGGTGTGATCTTGGCTCACTGCAACCTTTGCCTCCTGGGTTTTTTTTTTTATTGATACTTAATAGATGTGTATATTTTTTCAGGGACATGGGATAATTAAATATAATCCTATAATTTGTAAAGATCAGCGTTCTTGGGATATCCATCATCATAAATATTCATACTTTCTTTATGCTAGAAACATTCTAATTATTCTCTTCTACCTATTTTGAAATGTACAATAGATTACTGTAAACTACAGTCACTCTACTGGTCTGTCAAATAGTAGCTCTTATTTATTTGATCAAACTCTATAGCTATACCCATTAATTAATCTTTCTTTATCCTCTTCTTTCCCCTACCCTTCTCAGCCTCTGTTAACCACCAGTTTACTCTCTCTCCATAAGATATACTTTTTTAGTTGGCACATAAGAGTGAGAATATGTTATATTTGTTATTCTGTGCTTGGCTTATTTCACTTAATATCATGATATCCAGTTCCATCCATGTTGCAGAAAATGAAAATATTTTATTCTTTTTTATGGCCAAATAATATTCAATTGTGTATATATATATCACATTTTCTTTATCCATTCATCCACTGATTAGGACTTACACTGATTCCATATTTTGGCTATTGTGATTAGTGCTGCAATAAAGGTTGGAGTGCAGATATCCCTTCAGTATCTATATTTCCTTTCTTTTGAATATATGCCCAGTAGTGAAATTGCTACATCACATGGTAGTTCTATTTTTAGATTTTTGAAGAACCTCCATAGAGTTTTACATAGCGGCTGAACTAATTTACATTTTCACCATAGTGTATGAGTGTTCTTTTTTCTCTACATTCTCACCAGTATCCATTATTCCTTGTCTCTTTTTTTATAGAAGACATTTTAACTGGGGTGAGATGATATCTCTTTGTGGTTTGAATTGGCATTTCTCCGATGATTTGTGGTACTGAACATTTTCTCATATACCTATTGGCCATCTGTATGTGTTCTTTTAAGAATTGTCTATTCAGACCTTTTGCCCATTTTAAAATCAGATTTTTTTTCCTATTGAGTTTGAGCTCCTTATATACTCTGGTTAATAATCTTTTTTCATATGGATAGTTCACCCATATTTCTGAAGATTCTGTGAGTTGTCTCTTCACTTTGTGCACTTAATACATAATTCACAGGATTGTTTTAAGGAAGACAATGTAGGTGAAAATGGTAATTACAGAGTCACATAGTTCCTTTGGGGACAGGAATTCACGTAAGATTGCCCAGTGAAATTCAACTGAAAAAGCAGGCAAACCATTCAGTGCCTAGCAATTGAGCTATTGAGCTTAACTGAATCCGTGGACTCACTTTTAACATCTAGTTACTCATTGTATCCACTGCTTTTAACCTGTGTCTTTACTTAGCTTTAAAATGGCACGTTTTTAATTTTGGGCATTTATTTTTTTCTTATCAGTGACTTGAGTTCTCCTTTGAGCTGTAAATTTCACTGCTTAACTACTACAAATATCAATGACTGGCTTTCTGTTCTCCCAATTATTAATGATAATATGAATACATAGACATCTTTTTGATAAAACTAATCTGTGAGGCTAGCGCTGACGTATGTTCCTTATAGACACTGTCTTACAGTCTTCAAAGAAAAAACCCTGAATTTTTACTAAATATTGTGTCATAGTCTGTTTGGGGTGCTATAATAACCATATCATAAACTGGGTGGTTTATAAAGAAGAAAAACATATTTCTTATAGTTTTAGAGGCTGAGAAGTCCAAGATCAAGGTGTCAGTAAGATCACTGTCTGGTGTCTCATAGATGATGCCTGTATTAGTCCGTTCTCACACTGCTATAAAGAAATACCTGAGACTGGGTGATTTATAAAGAAAAGAAATTTAGTTGGCTTACAGTTCTGCAAACTCTACAGTAAGTATGACTGGGGAAGCCTCAAGAAACTTACACTCATGTTGGAAGGTGAAGGGGAAGCAGGCCAGAACAAGAGGGAGAGAGATGGAGGTGCTACACACTTTTAAACAACCAGATCTTGAGAGAACTCATTCACTATTGTGAGGACAGCACCAAGCCATGAGGGATCCACCCCCATGACCGCGTCGCCTTTCACCAGGCCCCACCTCCAACACTGGGGATTACAACTTGACATGAGATTTGTGTGGAGACCCAGATCCAAACCATATCAGCACCTTCTTGCTTCATCTATGCATGGTGGAAGGGGCAAGGAAGCTCTCTGGGGCCTCTTTCCTAAAGGCATTAATCTCACTTATGATGACTTCACCCTCATGATTCAATCTTCTCCCCAAAGCCCCATTTTCTAATGCCATCACCTTGGAGGTTAGTATTTCAATGTGTGAATTTCGGTGGGTACACATATGAATACTGGGATTATATAAGGTATAAGTAAATTTCTCAAGGTTATTGACCTTGGCAGTAGCAGGCCAGAAATTCCAACCCAGGTCTAGTTGCCTCCAAAGAATCTCCTCCTCCATAGTGAGGTGGGTCTGCCTAAAATAGGAAGCAATAAATGGTACCAAGAGCACAGTGCATGTGTGTTGTTGATCACAGTACAGATTATTTTTTTCTATTGCAGTTTTTTTTTTTTTTTCTGAGCCAAGATTTTTACAGGTTTTTATTGGATACCATGATGTTGTAGAAAACATAGTTGGTTATAATGGAAGATAAACCTGGAGGCCCACACATTTCATAAACATACTTTGACAATAAGCCTGCCAAATACGTATTTAATCCCTTCTAGATGAAGGGACTATCCTTGTTCAAAAAGGGCTGTCTAATATACTTATCCTCCCACAAGTCTGTGGACCAGGGCAAAGTGTAAGGTAAATAATCATTCTGGTTTGCCTGGGATGGAGGGGGATCAGTCTCCTCGGTGGGACTTTCAGGGCTGAAGCCAGAGAAGTCCTGGGGTAATGAATGCATTGGTTACCCTAGATAAAAAGATCGTTTTCATTTTTAGTTGAGGAAACTCGGATGTAGACACGTAACTAGCACAAGGGCAGGGCCAACATTCAATTACCATTTCAATTTTCTGACTCAAAGTCCAGTGCACAACCCACCAAAAGATTACGAGCAATTTATTTTAGTAAAGTGAAGAAATTTTAAATGACTTAGGACTAAATGTGCACTGTCATGCAGTACAATAGACTGGGACGATAATCTAGCTAGTTTCTAAGCCAGAAAAAATGCTCATATCTGAACATTCTCTAGTTTAAATGTACTAATTTTTTTCTAATGGCTAATGTAGAATGAACATTTTAGGAGTCCACCAACTCTCTTAGATTTAAAATATTATATTTTATTTACAATCACACTATTATATTTTACTTACTGTCAATAACAAAGATGTAATAATGTTATTGAAAGACCTTTTTATACAGTCTGTAGGTATTTATTTATATATTTTAAAATTTTGTTAATGTTTAATTTTTTTGAGACAGGGTCTTGCTCTGTTGCCCAGGCTGGAGTGTGGTGGCACAGTCTTAGCTCACTGCAACTTCTACCTCTTGAGTTCAAGCAATTCTCCTGCCTCAGCCTCCTGAGTAGCTGGGATTATAGGCACACACCAGTCTGTATTTTTAGGAGACACAGGGTTTCACCATGTTGGTCAGTCTGGTTTTGAACTCCTGACCTCAGGTGATCCACCTGCCTAGGCCTCCCAAAGTGCTAGGATTACAGGCGTGAGCCACTGAGCCGGGCCTGATAATCTGTAGGTATTTATGTCAGTGAGGACATGCAGCTGTGTTTTAAGGGAGTGATCTGAGGTACTCATATAATTTAAATTTGGAAAAAAATATCAAATGCGTCAAAGTGGAAAATTAAATTTTGGGGGAGATCCTCTTGCAATTTTAAAACCAGTAGTGCTCAGAAACTTTCTTGTTTGCAACAGCATACATGGACCTGGAGTATCTCTCCTTTAAAAACAAGAAAAAAAAAATTTATCCGGGCGTGGTGGCGGGAGCCTATAGTCCCAGGCTGAGGCAGGAGAATGGCGTGAACTCGGGAGGCGGAGCTTGCAGTGAGCCGAGATCGCGCCACTGCACTCCAGCCCGGGCGAGCTGCAGAGCGAGACTCCGACTCCGTCTCAAAAAACAACAACAACAACAAAAAGTATCAAGAATATGTAGCTGGAGTGCAAACTCAATCTATATTTTCAAAGAAAAAAAGGAGGAAAGCAGTAAATGGAAAATGATTTGTATAAATGCAAAGAGATCTAAACAAATCAACACACATTTGTCTTAGTATAGAAAAAAAAAATGATTAGCCCATAGCATTCTCTTCAGGACAGTTTCTTCTAAAAAAATAAGAAGAAATCACATAAGGGTTTAATGCATTTCTGTATCTCAATTCCCTTTAGGCAAGAGTGAAGATAATATTTTTGGAAAACTATATGACAGGAGAGTGGCACTACCAAGGAAAAAGACCATGGTAGCAGGGATGCCTATGAGAATGAAAAAAACAACAGCATGCATTTCTAAAGTAATATATCTTATATACTGTGTAACTAATAAGGAAGAGTAAAACAGATAAGGAAGAACAGAATCTGATTTAATTACTTTCCCAACCACAAATAAACAATAGGCCTTTGAACAGATGTTTTCCCTTTTGCGATCTTATTTGCTACAAATGTCTTTAGTCCTTTACATTGTCCTTTTCATAGCAACATGACACTCAGGTGGAATTATTAGAGCGTTGTACCAGTAGTGAATCCTAGAGGATGCAGGTCCAGTTCAGCCATGAGATGTCAAGGCCATACTCTGGGTATTTGCTTCAATAATCATGAGTGAACACAGAGAGGTTTTCAGCCTGGAGAATCAGAGGTTAAATCCCTGTGTTCCCTGTACTAGCTCACTCGACTCTGAAAGATTTGAAAATTACCAGAATTACATTTTTTGTCCTCTGAATTGATTTTCTTCCAGAGGAGACACCTGCCCCTAACAGTCTCCAGAAATGGCATCATTAGGTGCCATTTAATTAAACATACCAATAAATTGTGGCCATTTTTGAAGGAATTGGAAGGATTTTCAGAAATGCCAAACTCATACAACTCGGATAATTTTTTAGTGTATATCAATCAAAACAATGAATGAGTAAAGTATTTTTATTTTTTTCTCCAGGGGTAGGATCAGTTGATACCTGAGACTGAATTTGAAATCAAGAGAGCATTTCACTCTGTCCGATACTAAGGACTTGTTTCTTTCTTATGGTGAACAAGAGCAAAAATAAAATTATTTCACAAGTTCTTATTCCATTATTCACAAATATCTTTATATTTTGGAGGATTAGGCAATGTCCAAAGTAAAGTAGTTGAACAAACATTTGGGTCAGGATGCTATCAGAGGCTTTGCAACCACTTCTCAGTTACTGATATCTTTTATTTCTGTTATATTCATTTGATTAGGCATGGACAAGTTTTCATCCAATTCAAGGTTGTGAAGCTTTTATTTTCACTTTTACCTAAGGCAAAGCCTTTGATTATATCCAAGGAACATCTACAAAATTGCAATGCTGAGAAACTTCACACTTTGTTATCTTACATACTACTGACCACGGAAAGAGGATAGTATTATTGCTAATAATCATTTGTCCATTTGTTCATTAATTGAACAATTGTTTAATCAGTGTCAATTACCAGGCATTGATCTAGAGACCGAGGTTATAGCAGTAAATATATTATTCTCCTCATGGTTCTTACACTCTGTTTTAGAGAGATAGGAAAAATACACAATATTATGTGCTATATAATACTACTATGGAGAAAAGTAAGGGAGAGAAAGATTGGGAAAGAAAAGCTGGGAGACATTATTAAGTGCTCTATATAGAATAATCTTTATACTCAAATTATTAATCAGAATATATATAATATATATTAATAATTTGGGTATATATAATATATAAAACATATGGCAAAATACACAGAGGATATCTGATCTAAGAGAGCTATATTAACTTGCACAAGATCACTTATTTATTAATTCACAGAACTATAATTAAGCTCTGGATTTTTATTATGCTGAGGTCTGAAGTTGCTAGGGATTTTTAATGCGTCCTTAGTATGTTTGTTCTTAATAGAAATGGTCTTCAAGATGATAATCCATCCCATGGGCTCAACATTATTTCTACAATGTTTTCTCAAAGATTAGTTTATTCCATGGACCAGGGGCAATAAAATAAATTGAAAATATGCTAGTTATTTATTTCTCCCATTAAGACTGCAAATTTAAAAATAATATTTTCTTTTTAACCAAAATAAGTTAGAAAAATCTTCCCTGCCCCAAATAAAATATACTATTAGCTTAAGTGACTACAATTAGAAAAAATAATGCTTACATTCACGTGTTCTAGAGCATCTTGTTTTTGCAAGTTTCTTTTCTCTTTTTGTCAATTAAACACTTCTAGATCAGCACCAAAATCTTTCTTAGAGAATTTAAATTGCAAAACACAGCTACAGAAGTGTAGATTTCTCCAGCTACTTTTTGACAACCACCAGGGATGGGGATGGGGGAGACTACTCCCTGCAGTCTCCAATTTCTCTTCAGCACAACCCAGCAGGTTGACTTACAACTCGTAATAGGACAGTGGGACTCTCATTTCAGCTTTTTATTTTCCTTTGTCGGCATCTTCATTTTATTTCTCCTTGATTATTTTGAGCAGAAGAAACTCTTGAGAAATCTGTGCAATTCCTGTCTTCTCTATTGTTGATACCAAGGCCCCTTAACCTCTACAAAGGCACTCCTTTGGCATATGCTCCAGGTTTGGAACCCCTTTCTTCACCTCTCTTGCTACCAAAAGCTATTTTCAGCAAACTGCCACAGTGGGAATGAGCTGACAGATTAATACCAGATTCCAATGCAGGTGACTCTGCGTGGTGGTGAATGCTAGGAGCTTGTTGCCACCCTAAGCTAAGTAGCAAAATTTTCTTAACTAGACCATTTTCGGGTTGAAACTGGGTTCATTCTCATTATTTCTTTGATATTGAGGTGCAATTTATATGCTGTAAAATTTACCCTTTTTAGGAGTACACATCTATAAGCATTTACAAACCTATTACAATCAAGATATAGAATATTTACTTCCATCCCTCAAATTGTCTAGTGCCCCTTTGTACTCCATCCTAAACCCCTACTGTTTTTTATTTCCTTATGTCTTCTAAAAAATAATGGGATACATGTGCAGAATGTGCAGGTTTGTTACACAGGTATATATGTGCCATGGTGGCTTGCTGTACCTATTGACCTGTCCTCTAAGTTCCCTCCCCTCACCCCCACCCCGCAACAGGCCACAGTGTGTGTTATTCCCGTCTCTGTCCATGTGTCCTCAATGTTCAACTCTCACTTATGAGTGAGAACATGTGGTGTTTGGTTTTCTGTTCCTGTGTTAGTTTGCTTAGGAGGATGGCTTTCAGCTTCATCCATGTACCTGCAAAGAACATGATCTCATTCCTTTTTATGGCTGCATAGTATTCCATGGTGTATATGTACCATATTTTCTTTATCCAGTCTATCATTGATGGGCATTTGGGTTGGTTTCATGTCTTTGCTATTGTAAATAGTGCTGCAGTAAACATACATGTGCATGTGTCTGTAGAGTAGAATGATTTATATTCCTTTGGGTATGTATCTAGTAATGGGATTGCTGGCTCAAATGGTATTTCTGACTCTAGATCCTTGAGGAATCACCACACTGTCTTCCACAATGGTTGAACTAATTTACATTCCCACCAACAGTGTAAAAGCGTTCTTATTTATCCATAGCCTCACCAGCATCTACTGTTTCCTGACTTTTTAATAATTGCCATTCTGACTGGTATGAGATGGTATCTCACTGTGGTTTTGATTTGCATTTCTCTGATAATCAGTGATGCTGAGCTTTTTTTCCACATTTTTTTGGCCATATAAATGTCTACCTTTGAGAAGTGTCTGTTCATATCTTTTGTCCAATTTTTGATGAGGTTGTCATTTTCTTGTAAATATGTTTAAGTTGCTTGTAAATCCTGGATATTAATCCTTTGTCAGGTGTGTAGACTGCAAAAACTTTCTCCCATTCTGTAGGTTGCCTGTTCACTCTCATGATAGTTTCTATTGCTGTACAGAAGCTCTTTTAATTAGATCCCATTTGTCAATTTTGGCTTTTGTTGCAACTGCTTTTGGCATTTTTGTCATGAAATCTTTGCCCAAACCCCTACTTTTAACTATTGACAACTAACTACTGGATTGATTTTTCCCCTAATGGTTTTATTGTTTCCAATTTGTTTTGTGAATGGAATTATATAGTACAAAATATGTCTGATCACAGAATTTCTCTCCTTAAACCATTTTAATGGCTTTTTACTGAATAAAACAATAATTTTCTCATGAGGACTTATGGACCCTGCTGTTGTAGGTAGAATTATTAATATATCCCCAAAGCTAAGCTAAAGCACTAACCTCTGGAATTTGTGCATATGATCGTCTGTGGAAATAGGGTCTTTGCATATTTAATTAAAATGCATATTATGATGAGAGCATACTGGAACGGGTGGGTCCTTAATCCAATATGCTGATGTCCTTGTAAGTAGAGAAGACACAGAGACAGAAACACATAGAGGAGAATGCTATGTGAAGAAACAGACATGCAGAGGGAAGATGGTAGCAGAGATTGAGGTCATGCAGCTGCAAGTCAAGGAATGGCAAGTATTGCTAGCAGCCCCCCAAAGCTAGGAGCAAGGGCATGGACCCGCCAACACCGTAATTTCCAACTTCCAGCCTCCAGAAATGTGAGAGAACAAATTTCTGTTTTTCTAAGCCACCTGTAAGGTACTTTGTTTAAAAAGCCACAAGAAACTAACACACCTGTCTATGTGCTTAACCCTATCTCACTCTGTTCTTCTTTTAGTTGGGACTTCCAAGTTGCTTGGGTTTTCATCAGCTAATCTAATCCATGGTATCTGTCTCACCTCAAATCCTTTAAATGTGTTGTTTCCTCTTCCGGGAATATTCTGTCTTCTATTCTTTGCCTAGTTAAAAATCCTACTCATCTGTCAAGCCTCAGCTGAAATGTCATTTTATCAGATAAGAATTCCTTGATCTCCTGAAATAAATGAGGCTGATTTGCATCACTTGCTCTCTAACCTTTTCCTTCACAGCATTCATTTCAATTTATAATTAAGTAACTGTTGGGCTATTTATTTACCATTTGTTTCTCACAGTAAAATGTAAGCTCTGGGGACAAAGTCCCTGTTATTTTGTTCCCAATCGTGCATCTGAGAGAGAGAGAGAGAGAGAGAGAGAGAGAGAGAGAGAGAGAGAGAGAGAGAGAGAGAGTGTGTGTGTGTGTGTGTTTAAGAAAATTTAATTCAGCATCTCCAACTTTTATTCCTGAAAAGAAAATCTCCAAGAAATAAAAAAAAAAAAGCTGATCCTGGAGATTCTCTTCCTTTGCCACCTTCACCTCTATTCTAGCTCTAGAGTTCTCCTTTCCTATAGCTCTAATGTAAACAAGAACAAAATTAACAAAAAACCCTACACTAGACTTCCCTAAACACTAATGAGGCAGAGTGAAATATTTCAAAGATATATACTAAACCCTAAGTGGATGCAAGATTTTAATGCCATTTGATAGCTGGTTGATAAGAGGTTAATACACAAAACTCAAATTACCTACTTTATAACGTTCAAATCTATTATATCACCACCATTTTAGATATTCTATCTCAAGATACAGCCCCCATGAATGCCTTTTGAGAAATTATGCTAATACTATGGTTCAGATAACGAAAGAAAAATCTCCAAATTGTATCCCACCAAGGTCAACCCTTTAAAAGTCTTGCTTTCTGCCTGAGACACAGAATTTGTCTCTATGTGACTAACCTCAGAAGTAAGTATTCTTTTACAAAACATCCCCTCCCCACACCCCTCTATATGCATGAAGGTGTCATATCGTCATTATGTAGTAAGTTTTATGATAGTATACCACATCATAAACATAGAATCTTTTAAGCAGTAGTTTCATATATTCTCACTAATAAGGGCTTCCTTGCGTCAATACTTTGCATTGAAATTTTTGAAAGAAAATCAACTGTTTTGTTTTATCTCCATGGTGCTAGTACAGTGCTGAGTACACAGTATATGGTGAGATAATCCATGTTGACTTGAATCGATATTCACCATTTCTTATCTGGACTCTCTCCATAGGAATGTCTTCCTGAATGCTTATGCTAACTTTAATTTTATGAGCTTACAATTTTGTTTTATATATATATATATATATATATGTATATATCTACTGACAGCAATTTATCTTACTGAATATACAGAACATATAAGTGTATATATATGATCAGAACATGTAGAAGGAAACTATCAAGATTAACATTGGTTGACATTAGGTTCTGGGAGTCTTAGTTTTTATCTTTAAAAAAAGTGAACTTTAGAATAAAAAAAAGAAGAAAAGAAAACTGAACCTTTAATCTGAGGAAAATTAGAGTGCTCTGGCAGTACCTGGGTTAGGGTAAGCAAGGAGATTTGCCTTTTACATAGAACTTTGAGCTAGCTGGACTATGTGTTTCGAGGGCTACAGAAAGGTCCATGATGGTTTACCTCAAAGCCCTTTTCAGGATGGAGATGGTATATCATTATGTAAATTAGACCTACATCAGGGTGTTAGGTCATGTGCTAGTACCAGGAAGAAAAAAAAATCCTGATATAATAGTACACATCCTGTTTCCATCAGAAGACAAAAAGTTGTTTGTACATGTGGGTAACCTGTCAATGGTCATACTGGTCTAGCTTTGGTGGACCAAAATGATGGGCATTTCAAATTTAGGAAAAGAATACTTTAAGAAAGCAACTGAAGAGTTTTTTTACTTGTGATTTTAAACACAGAAATGCAACTTTTCCCCCATCATCAACTTGATGAACTGGGAAAATACATTTTAGAAGCTATAAATGCCTCAAAACGAAGAGAACACTCTTCTGCCAGAGTGGAAAAATGATGAACTGCAGAAGACATGGATAGTCATAAATTCTCATAGGTCAGAGGTTAGTGCCAGTGCACTTTCTCACAGAAAATCACTAACTCACAAATCTGTATGTAAAAATCCAGAAGGAGATGCTGATGAACTCAAAGTTATGTATCTTAACTCTACATTCTAGCTATGTAAAGCCTAAAGCACATTTTAATTTATTGAAAAATAAAATAAATAGAAGGACATAAGAGAACATCACCAAGATCATTAGGAAACCCAATGTCAAGCCCTGGCCCTGTCTTTTACTGGTTCTACAAATGGACACTTAAAAACTTGAAAGATATAAGATAAAATATATAAATCATATTAACAAATTTAAATAGAGAAACAAACCCTCCTAACATAAGACAAGTATTGTTATATTGGTCAAATCAATATTCAGTCATATGCAGTTGGTAGGAGTCTCACTGCAAACAAAATATTATATTAAGATTCAGAATAAAACTAAAAGTGAGTATACAAGAGAAATCCAAGCAACAACAAAATCACATCCATGGTAAAAGAATTAAATGGGATAAAGCATTATCTCTAAATTATAAAAGTTGAAAAATGAAATAAAGCTCTAACAATTAAATGACATATGCTGGAAAAAAATATCCCTGTAGTATATTTTCCCATGGACAGAATAACATTCTCAGCAGAGCAGCTCCAGAATTTCTAGGCATAAGGAGCTTAGGAACAGTGATAAGGTGGGAGAAGAGAGCCAGGAGAATATATTAAAATTATGTTTGCACAGCAAATACACTTATTCAGATTGCGTGTTACAAATCAATCTAAAAAAAGATAGTGAAGTTTTCCAAAGATCCTTTAAGTCACACCTAACATAGGATTGAGACAAAATTAATTGCTTATGTTGAAAAATATTGTACTTATCTTGAGGACTACGTTGTAGGGACAAGGGATTGATGGCCTGAGCAGCAGAAAAAAACAAAAGTTGGAATTTAGAAAAAAGATACGAAAATAGCTTCTTCTGCAGTCCCCAAACCAGATCTGCTGTTCGGGACAAACTAATGGAATATTCATCATTTATCTCCTGTTACTTTGTCAGGTGCTTGGCTTGTGTTGATATAATCAAACTGGACAAGCAATTAACATTTTTTTTCTAGTTGCGTTCAGATCAATTCTTTAATAATTCAGTATTTTGCTTGTGACTACCTTATCATCCAAATTATATAGATAGTCCTTTCTGAAAGCCAAACGGCATCCAAGTTAATTTCTTATCTAAGTGTAGATACTAGATATAGATGTTAGTTTCCTCAACACTCTGTGTAAAGATATAATGTAATATTAGCCAGTGGGCAAGAACAGGTATATGAAATAAATATAATTGTTTTTACATCCTGATAAAACAGTAGCTACGCAGCTCAACTCAAGAAGAATAACCTGGATAATATTTCAGGACTGATAAAAGCATGCTCATTTTTTGACACAAATTTTGCCATGGAATCTTGGTGTTCATACTATAGATATAAAGCTGGGCTAATCTTGTGTTTACTGTCAAAATAATAAAGTTACTAAAGTGTTCCAGGGATGGTTCTAAATCCTCTATAAATATTAATTCACTTAATTCTCACAGTCGTCTTCCAAGACACATTCCTTTATCTACAGACATCATTGAGGTAACTGAGGTGCAAAAAGAATCACATAGCAGTAAGTCAAAATGCTCAAATTCACACCTCAGCAACCTTATGTCTTATTTAAGCCCTTGGCTACGGCATTATATGGCTTCATCTTAGGATCCATTTAGTAGATGCATCTTTGATTTATGTTTCATTTCAGTAAACAGTTCCCTGTTTCGTCTATAAAATAAATGATTACAGACATATCTCATTTTATAACTCTTTGCTTTATTGTGCTTTGCAGATATTGAATTTTTTACATATGGAAAGTCTATGGCAACCCTGTGTTGGGCAAATTTATTGGTGCCACTTTTTTTTCAACACTATGCGCTCACTTCCTGTTTCAGTGTCACATTTTAGTAATTTTCACAATGTTTTAAATTTTTCATTGTTATTATATCTGTTATGGTGATCTGGGACCAATGATCTTTGATCTTATTATTGTAATTGTTTTGGGGTGCCACAAACCAAGCCCTTATAAGACAGCATACATAATAGATAAATGTGTGTTCTCACTGCTCCACTCACTGGCTGTTCCCTTGTCTTTCTCCCTCTACTTGGACCTCTCTATTCCCTGAGACAAAACAATATTGAAATTAGGCCAATTAATAACCCTACAATGGCCTTTAAGTTTGCCAGTGAAAGGAAGAGATGCACGTCTCTCACTTTAAATTAAAAACTAGAAGTGATTAAACTTAGTGAGAAAGGCATGTTGAAAGCCAAGATAGATATGTTAAAAGCTAGGCCTCTTGTGCCAAACAATTAGCCAAGTTGTGAATGCAAAGGAAAAGCTCTTGAAGGAAATTAAAATGCCACTCCAGTAAAGACATGAATGATAAGAAAATGAAACAGCCTTATTGCTGATATGAGGAAAGTTTTAGTGCTCTGTATAAAAGATCAAGCAAACCACAACATTCCCTAAATGAAAGACTAATCCAGACCAATGTTCTAATTGTCTTCATTTCTATAAAGGCCTGAAGGTAAAAAAAAAGAAAAAAAAAAACTTGCAGAAGAAAAGCTTGAAGCTAGCGGAGGCTGGTTAATGAGGTTTAAGGAAAGAAGCCATCTCCATAAAATAAAAGTGCAAGGTGAAGCAGCAAGTGCTGATGGCTGATGTAGAAGCTACAGCAAGTTATCCAGAATATCTGGCTAAGATAATTGACAAAGGTGGCTACACCAAACAACAGACATTTCGTGTCAAGGAGACAGCCTTATACTGGAAAAAAGATGCCATCTAGAACTTTCATAGCTAGAGAGAAAAAGACAATGTCTAGTTTCAAAGCTTCAAAGTTTTATGCCTGTGTTCTATAAATGGAACCACATAGTCTGGAAGATAGCATATCTGTTTACAGCATGGTTTATTGATATTTTCATCCAATTGTTGATATCTTCTGCTCAGAAAAAAAGATTCCTTTCAAAATATTACTGTTCATTGACAATGTCCCTGGTCACCCAAAAGCTCTGGTAGGAGATATACAAAGAGATTAATGTTTTCAGGGCTACTAATACAACATTCATTCTGTAACCTATGGATCAAAGAATAATTTTTATTTTCAAGTCTTATTATTTAGGAAATACATTTTGTAAGGCTATAGCTGACATAGTGATTCCTCTGATAAATCTGGACAAACTATTTTGAAAACCTTCTGAAAAGGATTTACTATTCTAGATGCCGTTAAGAACATTTGCAATTCATGGGAGGAGGCCAAAATATCAACATTAACAGGAGTCTGCAAGACGTTCATTCCAACCATTATGGATGATTTTGAGGAGTTTAAGAGCTCAGTGAGGGAAGTAACTGCAGATGTGGTAGAAAAAGCAAGAGAATTAGAATCAAAAGTGGTGCCTGAAAATACAATTGAGTTGCTGCAATCTTAGGATCAAACTTTAATGAGAAGTTGCTTCTTACGTATGAGCAAAGAAGGTGATTTCTTGAGATTTAGAATATTCCATAAACTTAGTTGATAAAGCAGTGGCAGAGTTTGCAGATTGATTCCAAACTTGCAAGAAGTTTTACTGTGGGTAAAACGCTATCAAACAGCATCACATGCCACCGAGAAATCTTTCATAAAAGGAAAAGTCAATTAATGTGGCAAATTGCATTGTTTCTTTATTTTAAGAAATTGCCACAGATACCCCAACCTTCAGCAACTACCACCTTCACCATTCAGCAGCCATCGACATTGAGAAAAGACCCTCCACTACAAAAAAAGATTATGACTTGCTGTAGGCTCAGAAGATGGTCAGCATTTTTTACCAAAAAAAAAAAAGTATTTTTAAATTTAGGATGTAATTTTTTCAGACAGAATGTTACTGCACACTTAACAGACTATGGTATAATGTAAACATAATTTTTATATGCACTGAGAAACCAAAAATTTCTTTTGCAACTGGATTTATTAAGATACTTCCTTTATTGCAATGTTCTGGAACCAAACGCACACTCTCTCTTTTCTCTTGATAGTCAGAATTTTTATCTTACTTGTTGCTAGTCTAGTGCTTGTGAAGCACATGAAGGCACTCAGTAAGTAGTTTTGTAACAAAAATAATAATGTAGCAAGTGCCTAATTCGACATAACCTAGATCACAGGGGATATTCTATTTGTCTCTAATTATTTCACTGCATAACAATACAATTACTATATTTTTAAAATAAAGACTTAGAAAAAAAGAAGGAAGAAAAATCCCCTACTCTCAAAAATGATAGCCGAAGCATTGTCATATCATGTCAAAAATTTCAAAGCAAAGCAAGCTTGTATTAGTACTACCGGAGGGTACTTGACCTTGGGAAAACTTAGAGTTGACAGGTACCAAAGGAATAGCAAATGCTCCATTTTCTGACTCAGTCTTCAATTACTCTGATGAGCAATTAAAATGCTAATTAAAAAACAATCTAAAACTTAGCACTCAGAAGGTTATGAAATAATGCACTCATATGTCGTAGATGTAGACAACTAATAAGGTCACCAAACAACAGTTAATAAGAAAAGTTAAATCATCACAATAATTTTAACGTTAAAACATTTTTATGCAGTTACAATTCCATAGGCATCATCAACCTCCAGCTAAGTAAATATAGTTTATTTATTTGTTGTAACTTTCTCCTAGGAAAACAACTATTTTACTAAAATTCAACAATCATAGGAATAGTCTAGGCAATTTTCCTAAAGACAGAGTAATAGAATATTGATAACCCAATGTGAATATTGTTGAGGGCCATGGAGTTTTTGAATTTGCTATTTTAATACCCAGGCATTGGGCATTGTATTCTTTGTTCACAATTGCTCTTGAGAGAGAGTTCTAATAGTTTTGAATTATTTAGTTTTTCTTCATGTTGCTATCTCATTCAAGTACCACTGGAATGGTGTTTTTAATCTACAGTGTATAAAAATTAAAGTATTAATTAAAACTCAAACAGTAATTTAGAAGTTAATGATGAGAATCCTCATCTATAAGGAAGGTAGGCTGCATGAGGGAAGAAAACTCCTAGCCACTGTGACCTGCTCATGGCCTAGCACAAAGGGATGCCATTTGTTGAGGAAACCAATTCACATAAACAAAAATTATTTTAACCAAATGTAATCCCCTCTAGAAATGTCATTCTTTAAACTGGAAGGATCATCCATTTTTTTTTAAAGCTATATTTTATGATTAAAATATAAATATTTAAATGCTAACTAACCTGGTAACTAACTCCAGCATATTCAGATAAGCAAATATCAATCTAAGCATTAAAAAAATATTCTACAAACATTGGCAAAGAGATGGGGCCAAGGTCTTGAAAAGTTTGGTTTCAAAATAGACTTTTGATTAAATAGTAAGAATCTATGTTTCTTTCTATTTAATCTGCAAATGTATACTCTCTCAAAATCCATCTATTTGCTCTATTTCCACTTCCAGCAGCTTCGCCTCAGAATTATTGCAATTTCATTTTCTCTTGTCTACTTAACTTTAGCTTCTCTCTCACTTAAATTTATTCTACACAATGTTATCACTTTCCTTTCTAAAACAGGACATATTTTTAGTATTCACGACACACACACACACACACACACACACACACACACACTGAAATGGGAATGAAACAGGATCAAGTCTAAACTCCACCTTGCCATTCAAAGCCTTGAAGAGGGCCTCAATTCCTCCAGTGTCTTTCAACATACTAGTTGCTAATTTATCCAATAATTTTACTTTTCTGACTCTTTATTCATGTGTTTGTTCCCTTATGCTTGGAATGTTTTTTTTTCTTTCCCATGGGGGCAAATATATTACTTGATCTTTTCTACTGAAACAAGATATTATTTTCCTATAAATTATTTTATGGGATGAAGAAGATCCTCCTCTGATGTCCATAGAGAAGGTGTGGAGTAGACACATGATTATAAGATAAATTGATAATTTATCCAGATATGAGACTCAGCATCACACATTTATATGTATATACATTCACGTATATATGTCTTCATATACTTATGCACTTATGAAATACACTGCCAGAAATACTTTAACAATTAGCTGTTTGTTTTATCCAAAAGAGATTTTAACTAAGACATGGTTTGTACAGTTGATGCAAAAGCCTGTTTTTAGTAGCTAAGATATTTCCCAAACTAGTCGACTACATTACGATTGAATAGATGTGCTGACAAAGCAGCAGGTTTTACATGTAGTAGCATTTTTGTAAACCAGATAGGAGGAGTTTCCAAACTCAAAGACTTTTAAGGTGTGTACACATAGCATATGCAGTCTGTAAGGCAGTGGATGATAAGTTGTTTATAGGCTTATACAAGCACAACACCTCTCTAGTTTTATGTCCTTTAAAACAATATGTGGGCCTATCAGTCAAGCAAAATATATTCTAAGGGGTATATTGCTCAACAGCTGCTGGTTTGAGAGCACTGACATTACCATTTTCATTTAGACTGCTAGCATTTTTAGTTTTAACTTTCTGTGATGACTATGTGTTCAATTCAATTTTGAATACAACTATATTTACAAATTATAATGATCAAATGATTTAAGAGTAACACAGAGAATGTTGGTTCATTTAACCTTGTAATTACATTAGCTTTGGTAAGACTGCTCGGCAGCTTCTATCAGTGATTCATAACAACAAATATTTATTAAGTATCTACTGTTTGTAGAACAGGACTGATACCTGGAGATTAGAAGATAAATCGCACTTGATCTCTGCATGTAAGAGATTTAACTGTGTGGAAGACTATTGTAAATAGGTAATGTCAACATAGAATATTCTAGCACACTATAATCATTCAATATACGCTTGTTTAAATAATGTGTAAATGAATAAATGGTGTAAGTGTGGAAAAGATGGTCCGGGAAAACACAAGGAAGCCAACACAAGCCAAGGTATGTAGGAAGAAAGTGAGAAAATAGGTCCATAAGAAAGATAACTCTTGGGAACCATCCAAGGATAAATAGAAATTTGTCAGGCCAAGAAGGGAAGCTTGATACTGCAGGGTGAACAAACTTCAAAAGGAAAATAGCGTCCAGAAAGGTAACTAACTTGGTATGTACATTTTGCAATTCAGTGCTCATCTCTTTTTAAATTGCCATCTATCATAAAGGCTGTAAGAAAAAATATGCATAATTAATTTTGGCAATAAGTAACTGCTAGCTTGAAATATGAAAAACAGCAGTGAAAAAGGCAGAGCTGTGCAGAAAACAATGGGACATATTTTCTATGCATTTTCATTCATTATTTTTGCATGCAGAGCTATGCAGCTATTCCTCAAGAGAACGGAGTCAAAATATTAAACCTAAGGGAGAAAATAGGTGAGTAATTCTGTGCAAGAAGCCTCAGAAGAAATCCTCAAGGCTTCTGAAATTTTGCATTTGATTATGTTCAGACCTGTATCATAACCCTCAATGACACCCTTAGGGACTGACCTTCTTTCACTGTATCAAAAGCCTAGACAGAATTGCAGGAGGGAGCGTTTCACAACACCAGAGACCTTGTGTAAACCTCCCAACCAAAAGTCATAGAACATGCTAAAGTGACAATCATAACTCTTTTCTTGCCATCGAACACCAACAAAGCAGTAAGAAGACATAGACTGAGTAGCTAAATCATCAGCCGCTTGGTGAAACCTTTCAAATAGTAGACCTTGTTTTCTACCATCGTGTTTGATTTCAAGATACATTTCTTACTTAAAATATGCATAAGTGTACTTGGAACAAAACCAAAATCAGAATATGAGAAATAAAATGTGTATGTATATAAATCTGTGGGGCACTGTTATACACACACATACACACACATATATATATACACATACATATATATTATATATGTAGTTATACACACTCTAAAACTTTCATTATATATGAGGCCAGCTATTAGGTTTAAAACCACTTAAAAATGCATTTGCCCTCCTAAAATTTTTCTGGCTTTGAAAACCCTGTGCTTCTCTCTTGCTTTTTCCTTATCTCACTTTAATTAGGCTTGCTGAAGAAAACGTAAGACACATTGGTATAAATTACCAATGCAGAACTTTGTCCAAGATACTGCTCACACCAAGTAGCTTTTAAGAAAACTCATGCTATTGCTTTCACGTGGCTGCTTAGAGCTGAAGGCCTCTCCACCTGAAGTTGATTTTATTTAAAATGGCTAGTAGGTATTTGTACAGTGTGGCTGAAAAGGCCGAAGGTTGAGCAATGGCCCACAGTTACTACAGAAGCTACCATTACTATAGTTATTGATAACATCTGCTACCATTCTGCTTCCTATCTGGACTATAGACTCTTAGGGCTGTGCCAATTCACTTCTGTATGACGAGCACTAGTGTAGTGCTTAATCTCTTATGGGCACCCGGTATATCTTTGCTAAATAAAAATAAAATATCTAATGATTATACAGTACAAAAGACTACTTATGTATGTTACATCCTTTAAACTGTAAAACAGACATTTTAGAGATTATAATTTACGCATGATGAAAAAGTGGCTCAGGGTGTATATTGCTTGACAAGTTCATTCAGTGGACAAATCATAGATCTAATGTTATAACTCAGGTCCCCTGAATGTTATACTACCCACTGTGGCAGCTTGGCACAAAATAAACTATTCCAGGTCCATTTTAAAATCAATTCAAGCTCGGTATTGGGACATGCTGGATGCTTACTAAATCCAGTGGGTAGAAAAGAGAAAGCTAAGATCAGGCAAAATTTGGATTCAAATGCCAGTTGGCAACAGATATGCACCTCAATTTGGAAAATCATCAGTCTAAGTAGCCAAGTTCTAGAAAGAGCAGCATAAATTGGGCTGTTCCCCAATCTACAGAGGTATGGAAACATGCCAGAGTTCTGATTCTGGATACATGCCAGAAGCTGTCTCTGGGTGAAGGTGATACAGGCAGGTTGTACTGTGATAACTTTGGTTAAAAAAGTACACCAGGGTTGGAGACAAAAACCTATGTCTTCACAAAATTTCCTTGTGGCATAGCAGTTCAAGGCCCACCTAGGTTGAGAGCTCTCCAGTTGAGCTGGGGCTCAAGGAAGGAAACCAGGGATAAACAGAAGGAAAAAATAACCTGGGCATGTGAAACACACAATGGGAATTTTTGGGGAAAGCTGCAGTTTGATGGACTTGTGAGAACCCAGGAGTTCATTCCAGACTCAATTCCAATCCTTCTGCCCCAGATTAATCTCAGACCCCCTGATGGGGTAGCCTGAGTTAGATTTGTGCTTATTGAGTCAAGAGTATTTGGAGCTGAATCTTTAGGTTGAGATCATATACATCACAATTCTGGGAAGCAATAACTTAGATGTTTCTTTTTTATTATGCAATTAACACTCATCTAACTTTGTAATTCCAAAACATCCTTGAAAAATTCACCCCAACCTGAAGGTTCCCTATAAACCCTAACAGAGAAGGATTTGATAAAACTTTCAACTGTGTGTGTGGTTTTTTTTTAGATCTATTGTTTTAACATTTCTACTGTGATAAAAATTGTTTTATAATTTGCAATATTGACTGCTTGTAATAAAATCTTTGGAAATTTTATGATATTTTCCAAAATTGGTTCATCAATGGGTCTGACTGGCCCAATGTCACTTTATAGTACAGATATTAAAATGTTGAAAATCTGTAGCCTGTGAAGGGAACCCAGTTATTATTATTCAATAGATATTATAGATGTCACTAATCATTTAGTAACTGAAAAAAGGGGGAAAAAAAACACAAGCAGTAATACATTGCAATAAATTTTCACATCTGGGTTATAATTTAAATTAGTTATGGTGAATGCATTTGCTTTACTCATTTTAATCAAGCATTTATGAAGATAATTTCATTTTGTTGATCCAAGTAAACTATTAACTTATTCACTCATTCAGTCATAATCAACATACAAGCATCATTTTCATAAAAAGCATCATTTTCATTAGCATTTTATAAAACTCATTCCTTGTTCTTGCACTAGAAAAAATATTCATCCTTAGCTGATACCATGAAACATTACCAGCACACTTTCTAAAACAGAAGGGTCTATTTTTTACATACTTAATTGTTAGTCTCTGTCTCCAATCACAACCTCATTCTTATGATTATCCTAGGGCCGGAGAATCTATGAGAGTGAGATCTAACTGGCTTGTTACGTGCTTAGGCTCCTCAAGGGGAATATTGAGGAAAAAAAATCCTGAAGTCATTTCAGAATTTAGTTATAGTGAAACTGGTCTGAAAAACTAGAACATGGGAAGATGAAAGAAGTCACAAGCATGAAGGTGAAATGGTTATTAACTAGAGTCTCAGGTATGCCTAAGCACTGAACAGAGAAAATATAAAGCAAAACTAGTCAATATAAAAGAAACGGGTCAATAAGGAAGGAATCAGAACACAGACAGCCACAAGCTTATGGATGAGTAAGGTACAGGGTTGAGCTGGGATACATCTCAGCCAAATCACTGGGCTTCCACTTATCCCGTGATGCTCCCAGAAAATTATATACAGGGTGACCATTTCATCCTGGTTCACCTGAGACTTTCTGGTGAATACCCCACATCCTGGGAATCCTCTGAGTCCCAGACAAACTGGGCATTTGTCCACTGGTTTCATATATCCAAACCAATCTGGAGGCACTTTTGTAAAAGGCAGTGCCCAGAGTTGTTTTAAGACCCGGGGAAGCCAAGGCACTTATTTTTAGGGCATTTCTTCTAAGTCCTCCACATCTTATCAATCACATTAAAATGTACCAATATCCCACATTAAAGATAATGTGTAAATACAATATTTGAAATAAAAACATTGAAAGTATTTTATCAAAACTTCTTTTGAAATTAATTTGTCAAAAAGTACACAATTTAGAGTTGGGCATAATTTTGTGGCTGTGAACACTGTAAATGAGAAAAATTTAACCTACAAATCATTTTAGAATCTATGATTTTTAAGAATGACAAAAAATAAAAGAAAATTACCAAATTAGTAAAATTGATGTTATTGAGTTGATAGGTATTTATTTCTATTTTATTTTAGCATTAATAAACCTTTATTTTCGAAGTCATCATTTTTGTTGACACATTGCTATGGTTTACATGTGTCCTCCAAATGTTTATGTGTTGGAAACTTGGATTAATGGAATAAGGAGGGCTCTGCCCTCTTTAATGGATTACTGTTGCTATCATAGGAACAAGTCTTTATCCTGTGAGTGGCTTTATTATGAAAGCAAGCTCTCCCTGGCCAACTTGCCTTGCCTTCTCATCCTGTGATACCCTCTGCCATGTTATTATGAAGCAAGAAAGTCCTCACAAGATGATAGTGATACGCGTGCTCTTGGACTTTCTAGCCTCCAAAACTGTACAAAAAGAAATTCCTTATAAATTACCCACTGCTATTCTGTTATAGGAATGGAAAACAGACTAAGACACATATGAACAATCCAAACACACACACACACACACACACACCATATATATATATGTGTGTATATATATATATACACATATATATACAAAATATATGTGTGTATATATATATTTATATATATAATATAAATTGGCTAAAACTTCCTTTTAAAAATTTGTCTTTTGTTGTTTTTCTAAAAAAATATGGTGACGTATATATATATATATATATATATATATATATGAGGTGAGAGTTATTATATATATATATGATATATATATATGTATCAATGGATTGTTTGGTCTCTTCTCTTTTAGCCAACCAGATGGAGCATAGCGGCTATACAGTCTGATTTCATAGTGGTCAAGTATGCCACATCATAGTTTTTGTTCTCAGTTTCTATATTGGAAAAATATTCTAATATTAATTACATTGCCTGAGAACAAGTATATCCAAAATTTCCTTCATGGTTTCATGAAGCTGTCATGTTTTATTTTATACTATATGTTTGATAATTGTAATTTTGATTTTTTGGGGGTCGTTGGTATTTTATTTACTTTATTTTATTTTTTGTTGTTATGTTATTTTGTTTTTATTTTTATTTTAAATTTTAATTTATTTTTAAGTTCCAGGGTACATGTGCAGGATGTGCAAGTTTGTTACATAGGTATTTTATAATTGTATTTAATTCATGATTTTACCTGTTTAAAAAATTCTTCCTTTGGTGGAGCTTGCAGCGAGCCGATATTGTGCCACTGCACTCCAGCCTGGGCGACAGAATGAGACTCCATCTCAATATAAATAAATACATAAATAAATAAATAAATAAATATATAAATAAATAAAAAATGCTTCCTTCAACACCTGTGTTGTTACATAGGTAAACATGTGCCATGATGGTTTGCTGCACCTCTCAACCCATCACCTAGGTATTAAGGTCAGCATGTATTAGATATTTTTCCTAATGCTCTCTCTCCCCCTGCATCCCCTCTCCTACTCAACAGGCCCCAATGTGTGTTGTTTCCCTCTCTGTGACCATGTGTTCTCATTGTTCAACTCCCACTTAAAAGTAAGAACATGAGATGTTTAGTTTTCTGGTCCTGTGTTAGTGTGCTAAAGATAATGGCTTCCAGCTCCATCCATGTCCCTGAAAAGGACATGATCGTGTTCCTTTTAATGGCTGTGATATTTTAAATGTGGACTCTGGGGAGAGCGTAACTGAGGTGAAGCAGGATGAATAGACACTCACACACATATATAGACCAATTATCAAAATAATTGAAATGTTAGAATTGGGAATAATACATTTTCTAAACCAAATCTACTTGTTTACAAATAAGGAAACTGAAACCAAAGAGCTAAGTATTTTTAGACAATAAATATGTAGAATTGAATGGAAATTCGAATTTAAAATATTAATTTAAATAATGTAATCTGTGCATGCTTTAGGTAAAATAGTGGTAACATTCTTGAAACTATCTGTAGGCAGAAAGACAAAATATTTACCAGTTAAGAGAAATGATAGAAAATTAAGATTAGGGAAACTCATAAATATTAGAGCCCATTAGAGGACTCTGCATTCTTGAAATATAGAAATGTAACTATACAAACTCCTTGGAATTTACGTTTAGGAGAAATTGGCTAAAACTTCCTTTAAAAATTTTGTCTTTTGTTGTTTTTCTAAAAAAAAAACATGGTGACAAAAAATATCAGAAGGTAAGAGATTTCTATGAGGGTTGGAATGTGAATAATTATTCAATAATTATGGTCAGAAATAAACTCTTTGGTAATTATTTCAGAGGCATGTGAAATTCAAGTAGCCTTCATTCTTAAATTCATTCTGGGTTTTTGACTTAATTCAGGTAATATCTTAGATTTTTTAAGATGCTAGGCAATGATTAAAAAGTGTTTTCAAGGCATTATAGCAGATAAATTGACTTGGAAAGGTGAATAATGACCCAAAGGGAACAGAATTTCTGATCATTATTTACATTCACTTTCTTCCTTTCTCTCAGCTCCAGATGTCCTTGAACTGTTACTTCATTTTAAGAAACCCATAGGGTCTTTTGTAGTGGGTTCCTGTAACTATTTATGCTGATGCAAGAAGATTCAATAATTCAAAGGGTTGATAATAACCTGGAATCTGCTCTCCTTCTGGTGGAAAAAGAAGTTTAAATTAGATTTTTGTTTCTCTTTGTCTTAACATCAGACTGAGGTTCAAATTCAGCACCAACCAACACAGGTGTTGAAGGAAGCATTTTTTAAACAGGTAAAATCATGAATTAAATACAAATATAAAATAATGTCAAAGATTTTATTTAATTCATTCATTAATAAGGAAACCTAAATGATGTCACAGTAGTTTGAAAAGAGATTTCAAAGTATCACACGTATATATTCAAACAGAACTGGTTAAATAAATTTATGACTAGATACACAATTAGATTTTTCACTAGCGGGGGAAGGTCAAGAAATCATTTGTTGCTTCAAAGGAAAGAATTCAATTGCACATTTATGGGCACAAAACATTTGCATCACTGTTTTTACAATTTATAGACTTATAAGATAGCTCAAAGACAATGAAAGGCTCAAACACAATAGAAGCAAATAACCTGGAGTGGTACCCAATTAAACAATGCCTAGTTTTGTGCTCAAAATACCCAGTAATCTTTTTGATCCATTTAAAAGTTTTTCATAACTTTTCCTTACGCAGGCTGGGCCATCAAAGGCTTTTTTCTCTCAGGTTGCCCCTTTCTGTACAAGAGAAACAAAATATTATCTACTCGTTGCATTATAAATTAAATTAGAAAATATTTCTAAATCAACTCCTGATTCATGGTTGTCACTTGATTAGATGCATTCTTCCCAATTACCTATCTTTGATGGGTTTTTTTTTTTCTGATAATGCCTCAATGGAAAGTGATTGATCAAATTTTCTTATTTATTTTTTTGTTTTGTTTTTCAGACCAAGTCTCACTCTGTCACCTAGGCTAGAGTGCAGTGGCATATCCATGGCTCACTGTAGCCTCAACCTCTTGGGCTCAAGTGATCCTCCTGCCTTGGCCTCCCAAAGTGTGAGATTACAGGTGTGAGCCACTGTGCCTGACCCTAGATTTTCTTTATGTGTTTTTGGCCATCTAGCATACATGCTTGCTGAACTTTCTTACTTCTTTTCCTTTCACACACACACACACACACACACACACACGCACTAAGACATTTGCTCATACTATCTCATTTAATTGCATTTAATTGTTGAAACAACCCAACAAATTCCCTTTTCTAGTTAGGAAAACTGAGACTTAGAAAAGCTAAATTGCTCAAGATAACACATATAGTAGGTGAGTGGACTGGCTTTAATTTGAAGTACACCTGAATTCGGAGTACTTAATTTAATCTTCCCTCTAATCTATCCAGTTAGGTGTTTTGGCTGTGTAGGCAGCACCCACTAAATAGATAATTGGGTCAGTCTGTAAGTATGCATTCATGTTTGCCTGGATTTTTACCCACATTTATTTCCTCCTTTTTGAGTGGTTTTACATTTTTTAGATGATATGCCCTAAAGCTCAATTATTCTTCAGTCAACACTGACGAAAACGTCCAACCACCACAGAAGAACTATGCACAAAAATTATTATTTCTAACATGTTGTCTGTGTCTACGAGACAATCTAAAAACACTGGGAATGGAATCCCAGCCAGCTGCCATTCGTAACAATTCAAATCACAAGAAAGCAGTCAGGCAGGCAAGCCTCCTCAGGTGCGCCTCTGGACATAGGTGGCACATTTAGGTACGCAGAGCAAATATAGTCTCTGAGAACAATTTGTCATTGCTGCTCCAATACCTTCAAATTAGAAGTAGCAGCAAAACAAGAGAAATACACACACATCTAAAAACCAGCTTTAATTCTGTTGAGGGGGATCAGATCCCAAAGGTTTTCAGTGATCTTCTCTTTATTTTTGTATAAATCCCTATAAGCCAGTTAATCCTCTTAATTTCCCTAACCTCATTTACATTTTCAATGCTAATTTCCCACCAGGTTATAAATTCCTTGGGTGAGGTGTTTCCTTAGCCTTGTTCTCACTTTATTTGCTTCTCCCAGTTCTAATTTCAGCTTAAAGTTTTGTCGCTGCCTACTTCTAAGTCTGGCACTATCATGTACTCTACAAGATGAAGACTGGTTTGTTCTAATGACAGAGAATCAAAAATAGAATATTTAAGGAAACCGTTGGCAATTCTAACATTTAGAGACTGTCACTAGGTGACTTGTGCAAGCTCATAAACTCAGAAACACAAGAAATGTACATTTACTTATATAAACTAGAAACATGTGCACACACATACATACATACACTCAGCATGAAAAAATCTCATCCCCCTAAAGTGTTTTAATTAAAATGTTGATGGAGTTTAGGACATACTAACCCCAAATATGGCACCCTGGCATTTGAAAAAACAAGAGGAAAGAGAAGGTCACTCTCAACTTCCCCTCATCCCTTCTCCTGATAGTTTCTTTCACTGTACAGAAGCTTTAGTTTAATTAGATCCCACTTGTCAATTTTTGTTTTTGTTGCAATTGCTTTTGGGGACTTAGCCAAAAATTCTTTGCCAAGGCTCGATATCAAGATGGGTATTCCTAGGTTTCCATCTAAGATTTTTATAGTTTGAGATCTTACATTTAAATCATTAAATCCTTCTTATTTTTTTGTATATGGTGAAAGGCAAGGGTCTAGTTTCATTCTTCTGCATATGGCTGGGCAGTTATGGACTCCACAGGGGTCGTATATAACCTTACTGCATGCCAGGTAAAATTGATTAACGTGATAGAAATTCAGCAAACCTTCAGAGAACTCAGAACACTGTCTTCTTGTTTTGTTTCATTTCTAAAAATTGTTTCCATATTATTATGTGTTTTCCCCACATAAATATCTGCATGACCTTTTTTGTGTACAAAGTATTAACACTTCTGTGTTAAGTTCAGGGATATCAAATATTCCTGTATTCACCCTCGCACATTTTACAGAGCGAGGCCTAAGATTTTGAATATAATAAAGCTTAGCGAATATTTGTTATGTGAATGACAAACTCTAAACATATATAAAGTATAATATTTGGAACAGTAATAATGAACTCTTGGCCTACTACCAGAAATAGGCTATTAGGACAGCTTGCGTGGTCAACACAATATTTTGTAAATAACTGGAGTTAGTCGTCACTGTTTAAGAAATTTTGCATTTAAACAAACAATATTTTAGGCTTCTCTTAACATACCAGGAAATCTGAGAGCGCTGGACTGACTTTCCTACCTGCCAAAAATTGGCTAGAATGAAGTAAGGAAACCCTTTTAGAGGAGGTTATACACTCCCCAGCTTACCACAGAAACTACTTGCTATTTGATACCAGGCCTCCATTAGTGATTTGATCTTTTGGTTTCAGTTTCTGCTTGTGTTAAAATATGACTTGAGGCTGAGCGCGGTGGCTCACGCCTGTAATCTCAGCACTTTGGGAGGCCGAGGCAGGCGGATCACAAGGTCAGGAGATGGAGACTATCCTGGCTAAACATGGTGCCGTCTCTACTAAAAATACAAAAAAATTAGCCGGGCGTGGTGGCGGACCCCTGTAGTCACAGCTACTCGGGAGGCTGAGGCAGGAGGATGGCGTGAACCCAGGAGGCAGAGCTTGCAGTGAGCCGAGATCACGCCACTGCACTCCAGCCTGGGCAACAGAGTGAGACTCTGTCTCAAAAAAAAAAAAAAAAAAAAGTATGACTTGAACTGGTTTAGGGGATGTACATGGGGGTTGATGAATCTCTGTGTATCCACAGAGAGGTATTAGGAGATCTCTAATTCTTCACTGTGTATGTGTTTATACATGGCTTTTTCTAGGAAATGGTTCTGCCAAATTTTCAAAGGAATGCATATTTAAAAAAATCAAGAAACGTGGGATTAGTCAGGCAGTGAATAAGTGAGTATTTACTGAATATCTACTACATAAAGCATCCTGAGGTCTTTCAAGTGTACACATGCACAAAAGCAAAAACAACATTGACCGAGATTTTACATATAGCTAAGAACTAATCAACGTTTCACTGAATTAATTTAGCATTGTGCTTAAAACTGAATGACAGTCTCTCAACAGCAGTTCTCAGCTGAAACACACATTTCACAGCAGCAGTTTTCTTAGACTTTGATCAGACTATTCAGCCTCCATACTTTAGCCAAGAAAAAGGACTTCAAATAAAGGGAAAGTCTTGTGGTGAAAGACTTCTCAACCTGAAACTAAAAGTACATACACTGCTTGTCACCTTCTTTCTCAACATCCCCAATTTATACAAAGTATGACATTTTAGAAAATCAAAGGGTTTAATATTGACTCAACTCAATCCAAAATATTCCAACTGATTAAATATACAACCACCTTCTTTGGTATTTAATGACTCTTGAAGCTAAACTAAATCTCTAAGAAGCATGAGTGTCTTCCTAGTTTAAGACTTTTTTGTTTGTCTTGATTTTTTAAAGTGAGCAACGCATGCCTCAGAACAGTTCTATCTATATTCTATGCAGATATACTCACACCATCACACCACCTGGGTTTAAAAAACATTAAATTGAATCTCATGGAAAAGATTGCCATTAAAAGGAATTTGTTTTAGAATTCAAGAGGTCACCTGCAAAAGGATAATTTTAACTATGTTTTTAAGAAAGGAGAACCATCGTATTTGAACTGCTTTTATATATGTACAAGCAACTCTTGTTCCAGGTTTGCACACAGAGAGGAGCAGCTTCTTCCACAACTGCAAACTATTAATGGGAAATTCTTATAGCAAGGTTGGTTATAGTTACTGGTCCCAAGTAAAGGGAAAAAAATAGACTAGGCAGAAGAGCTCATTTTTAATGGTTGTAAAGATATCTTCTCAGAAATACGAGGAAAGGAAGTCTTATGAATTAGGAATGAGAGAAAGGATATAAAAGTTACATTTCAGATATGGATAAACATTTTAGACTGCATTTTCTGACTACATACAGGCATTCAGAGAGTATAGTGATTGCCATACAGTACTGTTCCGGTCTTAAAGCTGTAAAATAGTATGTTTTATGTATCTGTAATAATGAAGTAGACTTGCATAGTACTCTAGATTTTATAAAGATTATTACATACATTATGTCACATTATCATTAACAGATTAGAGAAGTTACCATCAATAAGTGGTTGAATTATAATCCAAGACCAGATACATACACAAACATACACAGAAATGTGCACACACTCATACACATATATAAACATACACACTCACATATACTTTCATACATACACATATACTCAAACACATTTATGAATATGTACAAACACACTAACAGACTGGAAGCCTACACTTAATATTCACACAGCTCACAAACATATACTCACAGCCTCACGCTTGTACTCATACACTCAAATACATATAGTCACACAATTATGGATTCACAAACACTGACACATATGATCTACTTAAGTATATGTACACTTTTGAAAATTTTGTGGATCTGATTTGTTGGCCTTCTGCAGCTGTACTATGTTAAAAGATAAATTTCCCAAATCAAAATATGATGACAAGAATTTACTCACCTAAATTCACTAGCACAGATCTCTAAATTAAAGAAAAGATGCAGAAAGAGCTTTAATCTCTTTCCAACTAAAATGGTTTACAGTTATAAGAGTGTACTATTTAATCTTTATTTGTCTTGTATATCTCCTCTTTGATATAGGACAAACTACTTGTTCCATGATGATATATCTTTGTCAGATGATAGCAAACCTGTTGGGTTTCTGAAATACTTAGTTGTGAATTGCAGTCACAATGTTCTTGTAATCCAATATAAAGACCTTCCATGAGACTAGAAACCAGGTGTGGCAACCTAGAGAGCAAATATGCTCAAAGGTCTATTTGTCAGTTGATATACACAATCACCAAAAGCTGACCTCTGAGTCCCTTTACAGGCATCTAACTTTATGTTCCTACACAAAACAAAATTTTCTCTAATTTACAATGTTAAGTTGCTTAACTTAAAAGTCAGAACAAAAATGAGCCACATGGAGAGACCATAAGGAGTGTAGGTGGAAAGATTAAAATTGAAGCATAATTCAATGTCTAATGCACACTTCCTTGCCGCAACTGGGTTCCCTCCACCTCCCTAAAGCTCTCTTCTTCATCACCTTCTATCTAATATTTTTTCTGCATTTCACTCACATCAATTTTGTCTTAGATCTTCAAGGGGCTGTGCTGCTAATGAAATCTCCAGTTTGCTAATGGGCAATACAATCATAGTCGCAGTTGCATGATGATCTATGTTTCACATCTTAATTTGTGTCAGTCACAGGGATACCTTCTTTTTGTTGTTGTTGTTAAATGTTTCTATCTTGCATTAAAAACCTCAGACAATTACAGACACTTCAACGACTGGCTGTAAACAAGCAGCTGTCTTTCAGTCCCTACCACATGGAAAGACATTTATCTTGTTATAATTGGCATAGATAGTAATTGTGAACCATGAGGCAATTACTAGATGAAAGGAGGCCCTGGTTAGCACCTTTGCATTCCAATGAACTACTGCCACCTGTTTTGTTTTTTTTTTTCCTTCTTTGCTTTATGCAAGTCTCATCGAAATCCAAAATGATTATACAGAATAGACCTTTTTTTTTTTTTTTTTTTTTTTTGCATGACGAGGAAGGGATTGAATTCAGAGTATTTGATTTGATGAGCTTGATCTATTTCTTCTTATGTTCCAGCAGTGCCTACAATGGACATGGGAGAACTTGATTCTCAGAGGCTGAGTTGGACTCCCAAATGGGCAGATCATAGATAGGATGAGACAGTCAAATCCCCTTGGCTCTTGCACTTTATGGCTGCAGACCACAACACCATCAACACGCTTAGAAAGAATATGTTTTTAAATTGTAAACAGCACTTCCTTGTCCTCTCAGATGCTGATTGTGGCTAAGGCTACAAATTTAAAACTTAAATGAAACTTTACTTAAGGTTTTATTAATTAAAAATGTTAAATGTTGCTGCTATTGTTCAAATCTGCTATAAAAGGAAGTTTGTATCAAGGCTATTCCTTCCACTTACTTTTCCAAATCAATAATGATATCTGATATTTCAGTCTTTACTTTGTGCCACACTAAATAATATGAGTGCATTATCTCAGTTAAACTTTCAGAAAACTCAATTACTCTTACTCTTAAACATGAAAAAACCAAGGCATAAAAAAAAAAATTAAGCAACTTGCCCAAGCTCACGTACTTAGTAAATAAATGAGCTATTGTGTCCACAGCTGTCTGACATTAAAATGTCATTTTTAACATTTATTTTACCATTATGATTTAAAAGGCAAAACCATATAGATGCTAAACAATTATTTATAATAAATAACCTATAACATTGCATTAATAGCCATAGTTAAGTGTTAGTTTTTATTGCACTGTACCTCATTTCTCACCTGAACTCCACAACCACCAAGAATGATGGATAAGGTATTATAATCTCTATTTGATGGACAAAAACATTGAAAGAGAGGTAAAGTGGCTTTCCAAAACACACAACATATATCCAATCATTCCCTCCCCCACACACCTCATCACATACACCTAATGAAGTGCAGTAGAAACAAGATTCCTGAATTTTGATAATCTTCAAACTGTCATCTCTCCTTTGGGTGATATATTAGAAGCCAAATTGTGAGTGTTACATGTTCCCAGGAAAATCTGAGCTGAACATAATGAATAGTGATATTATTGGTAGAATTTTTTATAAATCCATAGGGACTATGCAGATTCTAGTAACATGAAAAAGAATAGAAGGAAAACTTCGAACCGTGTCACAGTGGTGGAAGAAGCAATACAAGTGCATAAAAAAATGAATCTTCATTGTGAATGCAGGATAATATTTTTTCCAAAGACTCTGTCAACTGGATAATGATTTAGCATGGAGGGAGAATTCCCAATGTGAGCACATTCAGAATAGTCCTTTCCCAAATGTCTGTTTATTTTGACTGGTTTCTTGACTCCATAATGTTGAGAGATAATTAACAATTGTTTTTGGATCAATATTTCCTTGACCAGACTGGAGCTAGGTCTTGGTGAGAATAACATAGTAGAACCAAATTTGTTAACTGCCATCAAGGAACTTACAAAGGTCAATGGTGGTGAAAATACACACAAAAAAGCTATGCTCATAAATTATAAAGTGCTAAACGTTGTGCTATAGACTACAGGAGTTCAGCTAACAGTGAAGACAATGTTTACCAGTTTCACAACAGATCAAGTAGAACGCAGTTATGTGATATACTAGTGGAGAAAACTGTCTTCAAAAATCCCCTCCCTGAAATTAGTCACATAATACAAGACATTTAACTTACCTGTAAATTTTACATTATTTAGTATTGTTGAAAGTACTTGCATCAATCCAAGTCTCCTCTAAAATATCCTCACTGTAGTTCAATCAGAAAAGCCATGGGAGCATTGCAGTACCAGGGATAAGTAGGGCAAAATGCCTGAGGCCTATTACTCTTGCTTTTCTCTTCAATAAGTAATCCTGAGCCCTTTTTGTAGTTCATTAACATTCATTTATCTTGAGCTCTTGTTGAATGCTTCTTGTTATCCATTTCAATGAGCATTTCTTGAAAATCGTTACTCATCACTGATTTTTTTTCTCCTTTTGGTTGCTGTTTACTGGCCAGGAATATACGTTGATGTCATTTAATCTCATTCATTTTATGATAAGGCAAAGAATATTTCTCCTTAATTACTCACATGCTGTAAGAGACCTTAAAAGTTTTATACTTGATTTTTTTCATGTTGTTGGTGAGGAAACTGAGACACCTTAAGCAGTTAAATTTCAAGACCATGGGGCATAGATAATAGTTGGCATCAGAAGAGAATCACTCTTTCCTCTTATTTCCTTTTTACATCTCTTCAAGCTGTTTCGTTCCCATAAGAATATTTATAACCTCCTGGCATTTGAAAGCAAGTTAGTGGAAAGATAATTACTCCTCAACATTTGCTACTAAATGGATAGAGTCATCCAGACCATGGAGACAGAAGGACGAGTTGACGTTCGTGCCTTTAATCTGTTATGTCCAACTGTTCCTCTTTTTCTGAAAACTCCTGCTGACTTCAAGTAAGGATATGTGCTCTTTTGGTGTTGAACATATGAGATAAGGTCCGTGATGAATTCACATAGCTTTAGTGGGAACAACTAAACATCTCAATAAGGTAAGGGGCCCAAAGATTCCCCATCTAGAATGGATTAGCCATCTCTCAGTAACACAGAGAAAGCCCAGCTATTATTATTGTAGGGTACTGACTTCCATCTAGAAAGTATTTTCCTATCTCAGTGAGAGGTGAGACTTTGATAAGGGTGAGTCCAAAAGCACCCTGTGGGTATCTTTTGCCCTGGGAATAAGGTAACCTTGTAGATGGTAAATTTCAAGTACACACAGAACCCCCAGTATCCTTATGTATTTGTGGCCATTGCCCCAACTTGAAGAAAGTAATAATCACAAAACGTTACACAATTCCATGTGCATTTCATTTTGTATCCTGACTCCTAAGACCTAAAAAGAACAGAGAACTAACCAGTAGAAAGAAAAAGACAAAGAAATTTATTTTGCTTTATGAGCATAAATATTTGAACTGGCCATATTTTCCATTTGCATCATCATTTCAAAAGCTTGTATGCTTAATTTTTTCTTCAAAATGCTAATAAAGGAATAACTCTATATTATCTTTATAACAAAATGATTGCAACATTAGATAACGTGCTTTGTGTATCAGATATTTGGTTACATGTTTTCTATCATGTTTCTTCTTCACAGCCATTCCACAAGGTAAGTATCATTGCCTGTATTTTACAGACAAGGACACCCTTGATGAGATTAAGTAGTCTAAATCACACAGTTAGTAAGTAGAGGGAAAATTTATTATCTCTTTCTGACTCTAATTTTGGGGACCCGGAGGGATTATAAAAATGAAACACTTGCTCAGAGACCACAGATGTGCTATGTGGCCAACTCTACTGATATCAAACTGTTTCTAACTCTAGGGACAGAGAGGAAAAGAGATTAAAGACATCACTCTTGTTAAAAATGTTATAATGATTGGGGATAGAACAGTCATGGTTTGGCATATTTCAGAACAACTCTTTAGATCCCTCGCTTACTGTTATTTCTAATTTTGTTTCAACAAGAATTTAAACTGTGCACATCTTGAGGTTGACCATTGTGAATTAATAAATCAGCCAAACATCCAGCGTTTGCACTTCAGTATAGTTTGTTATTCTCTGATGGTCACTGTTGAGGGATCAGTAGCACTCATGAATAACCAACTTAGTTTCACGGTGAAAAATGGCTTAGAAAACACAACCATTTACTCATCCTTATTACTGAACTATAGAGAAAGCTAAGTAGTCTAACAATATGACAGCTATTGACTATAAGAGCAAACAAAATAAAAACTTTTATAAATGACTTTTATTTGGCAGATCTGAAGGAAGGTGTACATCTTAGTAATCTTAGATTATAAAATGGATTTTGGATATGACATCAAAAGCAGAAGAAACCAAAGAAAAAATAAATTAATTAGGCTTTATCAAAATTAACAATTGTTGTGCTTCAAAGGCCACTACCAAAAAAATGATGAAGCAAACCACAGAATGTGACAACATATTTATAAATCATATCTCTAATAAGGATCTTGAAGTCCAAATATATATTAAAACAACCTCCTACAACTCAACAGTAAAAAGACATATAACATAATTAAAAATTCGCAAAAAATTTGAATAGACATTCTAGTTGAATAAGCATATAAAAAGATGCTCAACATCATTATTCATTAGAAAAATTCCAATCAAAACCACAAGATGCCACATAACATCAGTATAATTATTATAATTTTTAAAAAGATAGATAATAACAAATGTTAGCAAGGATTTGGAGAAATTAACTCTCTTACATTGCTGGTGATGATGTAATATGATGCAACTACTATGGAAAACAATTTGCTAGTTTTTTGGGTGCTGAAATTATTCTGGAATTAGATAATGGTGATAGTTGCACAATCTTGTGATTTGACTAAAAACTAACAAACTTTACATATAAAAATGGTGAGTGTTATGCTAGGTGAGTACCTCAAAGAGAAATAATTTAATAAAATAAAAAATTTAAAAAAGATTACCTTAACTGTTTCAAGCAGTGCTTTGATGACCCCATTCCTTGCTCCAGAAATGCTCATGACTCCTTGTTAATCACAGAATTAAAATCCAATTCCTGGTAATGCCTTTTGGAACTGTGTATAATTAAATTCAATCCTCATCTGTTTATATTTTTAAACTATTCTCCTTGAAGTCTTTTATGTTCCAAGAAAAATAAAATTTCCCCATACTTCCCTCCTTGTATACTTTCTCATGGTGTCCCTCACCTTGATGTGTATATACACACACACACATCCTATCCTTCTTTGCTTTTTGAAGGGGAAACTATATAGCTAATAACCCCATCTCTTCTCCAGAGGTTTTTCTCCCCTTTCTGATCTCCCAAAGCATTTTATCAATAGAGCTCTTAAACCACATTTTGCTCTGAACTTTATACTTGAGTTATTTTTGTCCCTGCCATAACTTTTCTACTTCATGCTAAAATGCTTGGCAGCAGAATAAATACTTTTTTTACCTTTTCTTTTTAAGAGGTAGTACTAAAAACAAATGTACTCATGAAAAGGTAAATGAATGAGCATGTGAATAAATTGCTATTTAAATAAACCAGCAATGTGTGTTGGGATGTGTAAAAGAGGAAATATCTGGAATAAGATTTTCAGTTTAGATTCTTTACTTTTTTTTTTTTTTTTTTTTTGGAGATAGAGTCTCACTCTGTTGCCCATGCTGGAGTGCAGTGGCACAATCTCAGCTCACTGCAACCTCCGACTCCCTGATTCAAGCAATTCTCCTGCCTCAGCCTCCTGAGTAGCTGGGATTGCAGGCACGCACTACCATGCCCAGCTAGTTTTTGTATTTTTAGTAGAGACGGGGTTTCACCATGTTGGCCAAGATAGTCTTGATCTCCTGACCTCGTGATCCACCCTCCTCGGTCTCCCAAAGTGCTGGGATTACAGGCGTGAGCCACTGCGCCCAGCCCGATTCTGTATTTTTTAAAAATTTTTTCATCTTGGTCTACCCTTTGATCATTTAGAGTATTACCTGTATAATGATCAATATGTTATCTGGAAACATTTTGTATTTTTATTCATCTCAGAAAGCTCCAAGTATTATTTTGTTCTAGAGACAGATTTATAGTAAGCTTTTAAATCTTTAATATTTTATTCCTTCATTCTCCATATATTAGTCTGGTTCCTTCTATGTGTTGGACACTATAACAGATACTGTGGATACTGCAGTGAAGCCAATGGGCATGGACTCTGCTAGGGGAACAATGGCGTAGGCAGAGAAACAAGTCCAAAGACTGAAAACTGGAAAAGCCTTGACTTCCTGGATCGTAAATTTTAAAAAGCCAGAGTGAATGAAGCATTGTATGCAGTGGGCAGATTGATTCGTAATGAGTTTGAAGAGTTAGGCAGGTACTAGGTATGTAGAGCTTGGTAGGCCATTGTCAGAAGTAAAAGTTTGTATAAAAAGAGCAATGGAAATAAATCTGATATGGTTTGGCTGTGTCCTCACCCAAATCTCATCTTGAGTTGTAGCTCCCATAATTCCCACGTATTGTGGGAGGGACCTGGTGAGAGATAATTGAAAGGGAGGTGGTTTCCTCCATACTATTCTTGTGGTGGTGTATAAGTCTCATGAGACCTGATGGTTTTATAAGGGGTTTCCTTTTTCACTTGGCTCTCATTCTCTCTTGCCTGCCACCATGTAAAACATGACTTTTGTCTTCTGCCATGATTGTGAGGCATCCCCAGCCACATGGAACTGTGAGTGCATTAAATCTCATTTTCTTTATAAATTACCCAGTCTCTGGTATGTCTTTACAGCAGTGTGAAAACGGATTAATACAGAATCAGTGAAATGGAAGTTGTGAGAAACCCAGAGTAAATTGAGATTTTTGAAAAGTTAATTTCATTGATGTTTATATTGCTGTGTTAGAAATGGGTTGGGTAGAAGCAAACATGGAACCACAGAGAATGGTTGCTGAGAAGTTATGATATTAATCTAGGGAAGAGGAAATAATGGCTTGGATCCAGTGGGAGTTAAGACAAAGAGAAGCGTACAGATTTAAAATAAATTTTGTATTTAGAAGTAACAGAACTTCTGTGTTATTTACTAATATAGGGAAATGATTCCATCTGGGCATTGGTAGAATACTTATGTGGCTTTGGGTTGTATTCCAGAAACTATGATTGGGGGATCCAGTGATCTGGCATGTTGGCTTACATGTACAGAGTGATTAGAAATAAATTAAGGCTGGTTTCAGAAAGCAGAGACTTTGTCTTGCTAGTCTGCTTAGTGCCTACAATTTCTGGTACATAGGTGACACTCAGTAAACAATAGTGTAATGAATAAAACAGAATTTTCCAATGACTCATAAGAGCATAATTAGCTCATCATATGGAATATGGAGGAAAATTTCATTAACTTGGGGGTAAATAGTATGATATAGGCTTATTATTACCATCTCCTCAGATAATAAATGCAAACACACTGCTATTAATATGAGCATTTATTCTGGGAGGCATCATAGTGAGAAGGGGAGAATACAGTGTTTGGAGTCACTCAGAACTAATTTTGAATTACAATTCCATCACTTAATAGTTCTGTGGCCATGAAAAATTTACTTAACCTCTCTCATATTTAGTGTACTCATCTGTACATTGCATGTGTTAGTATATCCCTTAAACAGGTACAATGAAGTCCAATTACATGAGAGTTGATGAAAAAGTACATAGCTATACATGGGCCATGTTACGTAGCTATACATGGGTGGTTTGCTGCACCCATCCACCTGGCATCCACGTTTTAGGTACCTCATGCATTAAGTATTTGTCCTAATGATCTCCCTCCCCTTGCCCCCTACCCCAACAGGCCCCAGTGTGTGCTATTCCCCTCCCTGTGTCCATGTGTTCTCATTGTTCAACTCCCACTTATGAGTGAGAACACGTGGTGTTTGGTTTTCTGTTCCTGTGTTAGTTTGCTGAGAATGATGGTTTCCAGCTTCATCCTTGTCCCCACTAAGGATATCAACTCACTCTTTTTTATGGCTGCATAGTATTCTATGGTGTAAATGTGCCACATTTTTTTATCCAGTCTATCACTGATGGGCATTTGGGGTGGTTCCAAGTCTTTGCTATTGTAAATAGTGCTGCAGTAAACATACGTGTGCATGTGTCTTTGGGTATATACCCAGTAATGGGATTGCTGGGTCAAATGGTACTTCTAGTTCTAAATCCCTGAGGAATTGCCACACTGTCTTCTACAAGTTCTTATAATGGATTCTAGAGGTTTTCATTGCTGAGAAGGCTATAAGCAAAGAATTACCTCAAGGCTAATTTAAGGCTACATTTCCTCTCAGACAATGTCTTTCAGAGTGTGACTTTTTGACTCACATTAGTTTCATACTGGGAGCCTGGGAGCTTGTAATAAACTTACATTCTAGGGCTTCTATCAGCTCAATGAGTCACAATCTGAGACTATTCATAACAAAAAAGATATCCAATCTCCTGCATGATATTATGGATTCTGAAGTTTAAGACCCTGGTTTCACAAGTTTGTAAATATCTATGTTCTTAATTCCAAAAGCTCTCTGCTGTTCTGTCACATAAAGATCTCTTTAAAAGCTAACACTTAAATGTTGGTGGCTTTACTGACCTAGATCAGCCTCCATTAGTTAATTGTACTTCCTTGCATATTTTAACTGCAAAGAGGTGAACGATGAATACAATATCAAGTCTTTCATACATTTTGTATTGGACTTAACAAATCTTATTTTCACTTACATAGAAATGGAGCAAAGGTAATTCTACTTTACATCTGATGTGTAAATTGCTGTAGTAATCACATGCTTTATTCAACTACTTCCATAATGAAGAATTTATCTTATTAAAAGACACATCTGGAACTCAGTCCCTCCCAGGGTCTCAAGGCAAAAAAAAAAAAAAAAAAAAAAAAAAAAAAAAAGGAAAAATTAGTTATATTCTAATGGCTTTTTCTGATTTTTAAAAATTTTTATTTATTTTTTCAATCTAAATTCCATTCTCATGTTCTTTCTTTTCTAGTGACTGGCTTTTAGATGCTGTAATTCTGCCTCTGCTTTTCTCACCAGAGAGCTTTTCTAGTTGCATTTTTCTTGCCAGCCTGGGCCTCTATGTTAAATTCAACCTTGTTCTTCTCTTTCACTCTAAATCACTGGCTTCACCACCACTGAATATGCCTCTTTTTTCTTCATCTTAGGCCAATAGCACAGCATGCTCTGGCATCTAATGCAATATGCTAAGAGCAAACAAAGAAAGCCAAATTGGCCTTTGAAAGATTATCATATATTAATTATAGCCCATTAAATTTTATCTTTAAAAAAACAACACTGCCAGATTTCTTGGGAACAGAGCAAATTGTGATACCTAAACCACTCAATGTTCTGATCTCTAACATGTTTATTGAAATCCTCTAGGTTCTGCTCTGTACTGGGCAACACCATTAGAAACCACACGTACCTGGGACAAAACATAATACCTGAGCACCTACTCAGCCTTTTTCCCTTGCATCCACTGCACACCCTATGATTCATACAATGATTACAATAATTAGAAGAGTATGAAGAAGGATAGGGAACAAATATTACTTCCTTTGCAAATATAAAAAACTCTCTGTTTGAAAGTCATTGCTCATAATTTGGGAAGAGATACAAGTCCTTCACAGAAGAACTCTTGGGCTAAATTCTGATTGCATTCAAGTCTAAAGAAAAAAATAATCTTTCCTCAGTTGCAGTCACACATTGTCTTATCCAAACTTGTCATCTACATAAGGCAACTTGATGGCCAAAGACCTTACAGCCAAATCCAGTGCCCTAGTTTCTGCTCATTTCTTCCTGGCATCTGGTATGTTCCCGTCCATCTGCTTCCTTTACATGGTCTCTGTTCACTTTCGTATTTAAAAGTTTTACTTTGCTCCATATTTAAGTAGTAAATCTAGTTAATTTCTTTAGGAGTTAAGCAAGTTATATATCTTAATTTATTATAGAAAAAAATCTCATGTCTCTGCTATGGTAGTTCTCAAATGCCAATCTGAAAAACAGTGAGTAGGTGACTAACTTTTCACTGGTTTGTGATGAAAAGAGAACAACATGATTATAGAATTTTAAAATACAAAGTAAGTTGCCAGATTCTTTATTCTGAAATTTTTGCCCTTACCTTTTTTGGGTATTTGATCATTCTTCAGTTTACAAAATGATAATTACATTTGCTTTTAATTTTCCTTTGATACATTTTTGGCAAAATTAAAGTTGGCAACCTAATATCAATTGTTCATTTTTTTTCTCCCACCATCTTCTCAATCAAATTTTACTAGTCCATTAAATCTAATTCAGGAACCACTGGAAATACACATTTTGAACTGAAAAGTCACCTTTCTGAAAATCAAGTAGCATGTTTCTGGGCACTATCAGAATAGAGCCATAAACTAGGCAAGAGCCATTGATTCCCATTTCATGGACACATGTGACAAAACTGTCAGATGACTCCCAATGATTTCTCTCTCCTCATACTCCTGCCTGTTTGTGTCATTCCTTCCCTTTGGCAGGGCACAGGATTTGTTTCTAAACAATATATTATGGTAAAGGTAATGGAATGTCACTTTGCTGATTACGTTGCATAAGGTTAAATACCCCTCTTGCTAGGAGACACTTTCTCCTTAACTTTGATGAAACAAGCAGGCATGCTGGAGAGGCCCATGTGGCAAGGAACTGAGACCGGCTGCTGGCTAACAGCAAGAAACTAATACCCTCATCATTACAGGCTGTAAAGAATTGAATTATGTCAATATCCATATGAACTTGGAAGAAGATCCTTTCTTAGACAAAGCTGGATAAAAACCAAGACGTAACTGACACTTTGACTGCAGCCTTGTAAGACACTGAAGTGGAAAACAAGCTAAACCCTGTCTGGAATCCTGATGTAGGGAAACTGTGAGATAATAAGTGTGGGATGTTTAAACTGCTAATTTTTTGGTAATATTATTACATAGCTATAGATAATTCATATAAATAGAAATTGAGTCAACTATACTTAATTGGAGATCCCTGAAGACATTCTAGACTGGAAAGTATTGAGTTACTAAAACCAATTAAGTCCATATAGAACTCATGTTGAAGTAATTTAAAAATCATTGTTGAGATTATTTTAAAGGGAATTAATATGTTTCTTTTTATGTTTTTCCATTTAAAATGTTAAACTCTTCCCAATCTTAACGATTTTAACTCAAAAATATATTCAGTGCATTTAAACTTAAATGATTTTAGCATGATAATTTTCATTTGTTTCCTGTGATGGGGAACACTTTAGTAATTCCAGTGTTAGGGAGTTATAGGACTTAATTGTCATGTTAAGTCATTTGCATTGTTCATTGAGTCATAGGTTAGCATGACTGGAACTATTCTTTAGTTAAAATAAGAATAGTCATCAAACAAAAACATGTGATGACAAGTGTGAGTTGCTAATCCAGTTTTGAATCATAGGTCTAAATCAAACTGTGTCTTATGTATTTTCTAATTCTCATTTGCATTTGAACCCCCATGCACACAAATGAGATTCACTCCCAGTTACTCATTTCCTCACACTGACTTTTAATTAGAATGGAGAAGAAAGCTATATCTTATATCTATGAAGTGAATAGTGTGGAAATTCTCTGCAGTGAAAATATTCAATTCAAACCGGTGAACGTTCATTGGGCAACTTATAACTGCATGGGAGAGAAGGTAGGAAACTGAAAGACAGCATGAAACTTGCTCTCCGTCAGACAGAAGAGGACATTCTGATAAGGGAATTCTCAGGGAATGGATTTTTTAGAACTGGTTCCTTAGAAAATATGTCAAAGATTTTGAAAGTGCTGAATATCTAGAGGTGTTGCTGTCACCACCAGGGTGATTTTCTTTACCCATCTGACAAGATGCAAAAAGAAAAGCAACATAAGTACTTTGAAGAAGATTGAAAAGCTACAGAATAGCCCACTTTAAGAATCAATTTCAGCGAGTTTGAAGTTAGTGCTTTTTATTGTAATTTGGAAAGCAACTTATCTTTTGGGTTGATTGATGTTATTTGGGAGAAGTTTTAGTCATTTATTTTGTGCCAGGCACTGTGCTAGGCTGTAAGGATCCAGCTGTGGAAAGATAAGTGTGGTTCTTGTCCTATGCAGTGTACAGTCCAGAAGAAAAGCAGATATGAGAAATATCACAAGTGTGATGAGTGTTGTAAAAAGAGAAGCCTGAACTATCATGAGAGCATGTTGGAAGGAGATGTCATATGCTCTTTATTTTTCAGTTTTCTGTACACCGACTTGTATTGTAAATTTATTGACTCATACCATATATACACAAAAAAATACAGAAATAATAAGTGTACAGCTTGGAAAATTATCACAAAGTGAACACTTCCGTGTAACTGCCACAAGAATCAGGAAATAGAAAAATACCAGAACCTCAGAAGCCCTCTTCTTTTAACCTTCCAATTTCTCTAGCCTCCCTTTTCCTCAGAGGTTATCATTATCCTGACTTATAATACCACAAATTAATTTTATTTAAATTTTTTTTGTGAATGAATCCCATTTTATCTACTCTTGTGGTGTCTGGTTCTTTCTTTAGTGTGAGTCATCCTTGCTTTTGAAGGTAGTGCTAGTCTATTGCCATTTCTCTATATTATGCCATTGTTTAAATACAGCATAACTTATTTATTTATTCTCCTTTTGAGTTGTTTCCAGCTTGGGGCATTTACAAATAAAGCTATTATAAACATGGAGATTAGTATGGTCAGCCTTAGTGGAGTCTGCCAATTGGGTAATCCAATTTATACTCTTATAAGCATACAGGTAGTGTAAAAGAGCTGCAGAGAGTCTACATCTTAACCAACTCATGGAATAATCAAAATTTTCAAATTTTAATTTTTCATGTCTGTAATAGTATTGAACTTTGATTTTAATTTGCATCTTTTCAGTTCCTAATGAGGTTGATTTATACATCAACTCTTGTTGCATCCAGACAGCTAGTCTCTTATCCATAAATTTTATATCAAACACTTACAAAATTATGTCTCTGTAAAGGGGGTTGAATTTATACAGACTATACGTATGCTTTTGTGGGATAACATTCTTTACAAGAATAAAATATGCTACAGTAAAGAATAGAAGATCTAGTTATGTGGCAGTAGGAAAATTACTTAACTCTCTAGTGCTTACCCAACTCACATTAGGAGAGAGGTGTTAGGCTGTTAAAAACCTATAAGCTATAGTCCAGTTCTTATACATTGCCATCAACCCCTACCTCAAATAGAAAAAATAAGGTTGAAGATTTTCCTAAATATAAATTATATGCTTTTAATGCATATTTTCTTTCAGGTTATTCCACTGAAGGACAGCCACTGGCATTAAGAAGTGTTAGTTACATGTACACAAGATCATGGGTCCTCAGGTAAAATTTCTATTTATTTATGTAAAGTGTCTCAAAATATCACTCTAGAAATATCAATCACTCCCACACCCAAGAATGAAAAAAACTAATATCACTTTGCAGAAATGTGTGCTTCTTAGAGGAAGACACATTCGCACCCTTCCAAGCTCAATGCCCAATTCATTAAGTCTTTCTTAAATATGACTCCAGCCCTCACAATCCAAGACAAATGCACAGGTCTAAAGAACTTAAAAGTAAAACCTAAAACTATAAAAACCCTTGAAAAGTAACAATTCTAGGATATACTATTCTGGACATAGAACCAGGCAAAGATTTCATGAGAAAGACATCAAAAGCAATTACAATAAAAACAAAAATTGACAAGTGAGACCTAATTAAACTAAAGAGCTCCTGCACATCAAAAGACATTATCAACAGATTAAACAGACAACCTACAGATTGAGAGAAAATATTTGCAAACTATGCATCTGACAAAGGTCAAATATCCAGAATCTATAAGGAACTTAAATTAACAAGCAGAAAAACAAACAACCCCATTTAAAAGTGGGCAAAGACATGAACAGACACATTTCAAAAGAAGACATCTATGTGGTCAACAAACATGTAAAAAAAATGCTCGATACCACTAATCATTAGATAAATGCAAACCAAAACCACAATGAGATACCATATCATACCAGTCAGAGTGGCTAATATTAAAAAGTTAAAAAATAACAGATGCTGACAAGGTTATGGAGAAAAGGGAACACATATACTGCTGGTAATGGCAGTGATGGGCCATCTGGAGCAGCCACTGCCATCACACCAGCTGCTACAAGGAAGCTTGGCCAGGGCTGCTGCATGCTTCATGGAGCCAGCAGGAGTCAGGGACAAGTGGGAACCCCACCCCTACTCAGTAGAGGCAGGAGCTTACCAGGTGCCACTGCAGCCACCCAAGCCATGGCTGCAAACTGGACATCCCTGTGCTCTTTGTTCCAAGAGCAGGCAGGAGCCCCACCCTCCAGGGCAAAGCTGCAGCTGCTCGAATCATGGCTATGGACCCAGGCATCTCTGTACTCTCAGGGGCCCAGAAACGCCGCCCCCCATTCCCCGACCTTCGCAGGCTTGGAAATGCCTGCTCCCGCTGCTTGGCTTCTCCCTGCTATTTGTGCCCGCTCTAATCCTGTAGCAAAGTTGGGACAAAGCCTGGGTACTCTCACAGCCCAGCTGGGTGTTCACACACTCGAGGCAGTGCTGAAACACCAGTCCCTTGCCGCCTAAGACCCTCCAAACTTTGGGCACTGATAAGCATAGGAGGGAAGCTGAGCAGGGGCTGAGAGCAGCTCTGCACTGGCCTGCAGATACCTCTCGACACCTATAGCCTGGGCACCATGAACAGCAGCAGGAAGCAGACAGGTTCCTGGGTGGAAGGGGGCGGGCCCCCTAAGGCCCCATCTTCAGGCCAGGGAGGGCCTGAAAATTGGGTGCCAGGCTGCCAGTCCCACAGACCAGATTGGGAACTTGAGGTGCCTTTTCTGGGCCTGCCCATGGACCAATAGGCATGCACTGCCTCCCCTCTGTGGCCCATAGAAGCCCTGGACTCAGCCAGAGCTGAGCAGACTTCAGGACAACCAGCTGCAGAGAAGAGCAACCCAACCTAGGGCCTCCTCTCTGCTGACAGTTGCAGAGATATCAGGATGACATGCCTGCAGAGAGAAGCCATTCCCTCTAGGGTCTCCTCTCTGCTGAGTGCTGCACAGATAATGGGACAACCAGCTGCAGAAAGGAGCTACCGTCTCTGCTCTGCTGATAGCTGAACATCTGTCAGGATGAATTGTGTAGCCGAGAGGAGCTACCCTCTCTGCTAGGAGCCGAACACTCCTTGGAACACCCTGGGAACAGAAAGGAGCTGCCCCTGTGGTTTTCCTCTGAGCTGTTCTATCACTCAGTAAGGCTCCCCTTCATCTTGCTCACCCTCTACTTGTCTGCGTACCTCATTCTTCCTTTTCACAGGACAAGAACTTGGGACCCACTGAATGGTGAGGATAAAAGAACTGTAAAACAAACAGGGCTGAGACATCCTCCTGGCTTGCCATGCTGTGAGCAAAGAGAAGGAAAGAAGAACTGCGATTCTTCAGGGACCCCAGACCTGGGAGCTCCCTCAGCCAGGGCTGTGACTCCCCCCTTTGGGGCCTGCAGTTCCTGGCATCTCCATGCTTCCAGGAACCACCGTGTTCCCCAGTGCCAGCCGTGGAAGCTGCTTGTGGTGCAGCTGGTCTGGCTGCAGCCTCGCAAAGAGCCAGTGCCCATGCCAGCACCTGTAGCTGCCTGCCCCACTGCACATATGACTGTGTGCAGTGGCTGGAACTCAGGCTCACTCATGCACCCCTTACTGTTCCATGCCTGACTTGCCCTTGGCAGGCATGGGACCCAAGCAGGTAGTGTGAGCCAAGCACAGCCTGCTAGGCCAAGTGGGCGAAAGGAGCCCAGTGGGCCTAAGCTAAACTTGGGCAAAGGTGCCACTGGCCACAGAGGTTTCTGGCCAGAAAATAAATACCCCAAATATCCTGTAACACTGATGGGAATGTGTACTATTTCAGCTGCTGTGGAATGTAGTTTGGTGATTCCTCAAGGAAATTAAAACAGAACCTACCATCCAACCCAGCAACCTGTTATTGATAATGTACTCAAAGGAATATAAATTTTTCTACCATGAAGAAACATGCACATATATGTTCATCACATCACTATTCATAATAACAAAGACATGGAATCAACCTAAATGCCCATCAATGGTAGACTGGATAAAGAAAATATGGTGATTATACACCATCGAATATTATGCAGCCATAAAAATGGAGATCATGTTGTTTGCAGGAATGTGAATGAAGCTGAAGGCCATTATTCTAAGGGAACTAATGCAGGAATGGAAAACCAAATACTGCATGTTCTCACTTATAAGTAGAAGCTAAACAATGAGTGCATATGGACACAAACTAGGGAACAATAGACACCAGGGCTGACTTGAGGGTAGAAGTTGAGAGCAGGGTAAAGAAAAAAAGACTACCTAACAGATACTATGCTTATTACCTAGATGATGAAATAATCAGCACCAAACCCTAATGACATAAAATTTGCCTATATAAGGAATCTGCACATATACTCCTGATACTAAAATAAAAGTTTTTTTTTTTTTTTAAGAAAAAGAGAAAGAACTTGTTTAAGGTCCTAAGTTTTGATGACAAATAAACAACAACAACAACAAAAAACTTAGATACGTTCCTTATCTAACACAAAGGAAGATGAGAAAGATAAACACAGAGAAACTTGATAAACAGGTATTATAGCTTTCTTAAAGAGAGATACAAGAAGTTCTAGTATCTCCAGAAGATGGCTGATAGATCAAAATTTTAGAAATAATGTACGTGGTAGAGATCTCCACTTAGGAACCTGAGGCAAAGACCCACTGGTTCATTGACTTGTTTTTTCATGACATTTTGTGTCTTTTTATAGGAGTTTCTTCTTCTTTTTATTTTGTTATTATAAACTGTTTTAATGTTTTTCTTTTTACACCTTTTAGAGTCTTTACAGACTCCCCTTATGTAGGTTGTGCCTGTGCAAGAGACCTGTGTTTATAAAAAGTCCTATCTCCGAAAAATTTGCTACTCAAGAGTAGTCCTTAGGTAGGCAGCAGTGGACTGAAAGTTTGTTAGAAATGCAGAATCTCTGGCTCATGCCTGTAATCCCAGCACTTTGGGAGGCTGAGAAAGGTGGATCACTTGAGGTCAGGAGTTTCAGACCATGCTGACCAACATGGTGAAACCCCATCTCTACTAAAAATACAAAAATTAGTCAGGCATGGTGGCACGCACCTGCAATTCCAGCTACTCGGGGGTCTGAGGCATAAGAATCACTTGAACCCGGGAGGCAGAGGTTGCAATCAGCCGAGATCACACCATTGCACTCCAGCCTGGGTGACAGAGTGAGACTCTGTCTCAAAAACAAAATGCACTGCACTGAGTGTAGCAAATAAGAATGTTCATTTCAACAAGATCCTCAGTTGGCTTATATGCACATTAAAGTTTGAGATGCCTTGTCCTGAAGAAGCTAGCATGTCGCTCTGTGTCATGCTGGTATTTCCCAGATCTCTACAATTCCATTTTCTTTTCTGGGGAGATTGTAATCATAGAGAGTTACAACTGCTCAATCTCTATCTTTAACTTAGCCCTTCCTCCAAAGTACAGACACAAACTCTAAATGCCTACTCCTGGTATCATACAAACTTGTAAGATTCAAAACACTTGTATTAGTCTGCTTTGGCTGCTATAACAAATTAGCACAGACTGTCTAGCTTAAATAAGACATTAATTTTCTCACACTTCTGGAGGCTTGAAACCTATGATCATAGTGGTGGCAGATTTTGTTTCTGGCGAGTACCCTCTTCCTGGCTTGCAGATGGCTGTCTTCTCCCTGGGTTCACATATGTCCTTTTCTAGGTGTACGCATATGGAGAGAAAATTATCTGGTTTCTCTTCTTATGAGGACACTAATTCTGTTGGATGAATTGTATCATAACTTCATCTAACTGTAATTACTTGCTTAGAGCCCCCATCTCCAAATACAGCCATACTGGGGCTAGGGCTTCAAGATATATATATTGGAGTAACATAAACAATACAAAAACCTGGATTTATTGTTAACCTTCTTAAAACTATTTTTATTCTTCCTCATCTAACTTGTGACCAGTGATTCCACCATTCTCCCACTTAAATCTTTAAGCCAGACAAATTAGAGGTATCTTTGATTTCTCTGTCTTCATTCTCTTATCCATGCAGCCAATCAATACCCGTAACTCAACCTCTACATCTTTCTCAAGTGTCTTCTCTCCTCTCTGTTCCCAATACCACAATATTAATTTAGTTCATCAGTATCTTTTCCCTGGATGTTCCCCGCCCCTTCCCCTCCCCCCTCCACACAGGTGCATTTCCTTCCAAATCAACTCAAATATCCCTAATAACCTCTCCCCAAGACATTTAATATTCTCAAGCAGAGAAAACTTATTTCTTCTAAATATTTTATATATTTCTATCCTCCTCCTGCTGTACTTATCATACTATATTGAATAATTCAGCATTTTATTTCAATGGTCTATTCTCATGTAAGTTGAGTGGAAGGGGAAGGAGTGGAGATGCAAGGCGAGGGAGGAAAGAATAGGAATGGGATTAGGAACTTACTCTTATTGATAACAGAATTCTCAGCACGATTTGGGTTTTGTTCAGAAGCAGTTTTTATCAAAGGATTTCCATGAGAAAATATGTTAATAGATGTCATATGAAAATAACAAGGGAAGGGAGAGGTGGAGAGGAGTGCTCTCTTTGTTAAAATTTGCTTCATTTAAAATATACTAGGTCAGATAATTAATACACTTAATCCACAGCAAGACTTCTAGACTCTGAATATGTTACCGGGCACTGTGACACTGGGGGTGAGGGGAGGGAATCAGAGATATTCTGTATGTTGTTTGCCACTCTAATACAATATGACCACAAAAATATTTTTAAATCAAGTTTCTTAAATCTTTCTAAATCAAGTATCTAGTTCCCAGAATTCCTGATGATAGCTTGGCCCAGGTACTTGTGAGAGCTATAAAGCTAAAGAAATGCAACATGGCACTGACTTTGGAAGGTATACTATCATGGGCAGCACATAGAAAGTAGTGTGAGGTGAGGCAGATTCACGTTTGTCCATTTGGATGCTTCCTTTAGAATTGACAAGCCCAAATGGATAAATTTATCTTGGTCTTTTTTGCTGTTAGATCTCCTGTACTTAGAAGATATGCTGGGAAATGCAATATGGCACCTACCCTTGGAAGGTCTAACACGGTGGGCAGCACATAGAAAGCAGTGTGAGGTGAGGTGCATCCACTGCTCAATTGGCTGCTTCCATTTGAATTGACAAGCTCAAGTGAGCAAAATCCTCTTGGTCCTTTACACTGCTACATCTCCTGTACTTAGAACATATGCTGGCAGAAGGGAGTTCTCACTATGGAAAATTTAATGAAATAAAGTTTAAAAAACTTATTATAATTTCAGCATTACAAGTGTGAGTTTGTTACATAGGTAAACCTGTGCCATGGAGGTTTGTTGTACAGATTATTTCATCACCCAGGTATTAAGCCTAGTACCCATTAGTTATTTTTCCTTATCTTCTTTCTCTTCTCACCTTTCACCCTTCAAAAGGCACCAGTGTGTGTTGTTCACCTATATGCAACCATGCATTCTCACATATAAATGGGAGCTAAATGATGAGAACATACAAACTTAAGTTTTGAATTATACAGTTTCCTATTGGAGGAAATACACCTGTCATATGAGTAATCACTCCACCTGGCTTATTACCTTCTCTTGATAAAACAACAGTTTCCATTCAGTATTTTAATGCAGATGCACTCTTTCTTTGCTGCTTGACCAACAAATTTTTTTTTCCAAAATTATAAGTAAATATCTATCTAATTAAATCCAGGAAACAACTCTGCTAGGTAGCATGGGGATGCAAGAATGAGCAGAAATGCACGGTCCCTATTCTCAATGAACTTATAACAATATTGAAAATAATCTTTACTGGGTAGCATAATGCCCTCCAAATATTCATACCTACCTAGAAACTTGGAATGTGACATTGTTTGAAAATACGGTCTGTGCAGATGTAACTAGTAAAGACGAGGTCATGCCGGAATTGGCTAGGCCATCATCCAGTGACTGACATCCTTAAAAGAAGACACAACAGAGATACAGATACACACACACAGAGAAGGAAGACAGCCATTTGAAGACAGAGTCAGAGATTGGAATCATGCTGCCAGAAACTATGGCATTTCAAGGATTTCTAGCAACCACCAGAAATGAGAGAGAGAGAGAGAGAGAGTGAGCCTGCTTCTGCTTACATTTTGATTTTAGACCTAAGAGACAATACATATCTGTTGTTTTCAGCCATCCAAATTTGTGATAATTTCTTATGACAACCCTAGGCAACTAATATATAATGATTGCATTAGTTTAAAAGAGAACACATTTCTAGACATAAGGAATCAATGAAGTGAATAAATTTTTGGCAAACAGCATCTGTACTGTGTGTCAGAGTCTTCTTAACCATCCTGCAAAGTAAGCATTATTTTCCCATTTAGCATGAGAGAAAACTATACCTTTATTATTTATTAAGAAACTAGTATTACCAGACATTGTTCTCTGTGATAGGGATGTAATAGTAAACAAAACAAATTAGAACCTTGCCCTAGTTGAGCTAAAAATCTAGTTTCAAAATGTAGCTGGGTGAGGGAGACACATAATCATTATATCAATTTTATAAAATAAATAAGACACATTCATTTAGTTACTAAGGGCTAAGAGGCAAATAAAGTATATAAGAATGATGGAGAGTTTGTTATAGGTCCCAGAGAAGGCACTATAGATAGAAGAGTCAGGATAGCCCCTCTGAGGTTGAACTTTGAAGGATGAGAGAGAGCTGGCATATTGAAGAACTAGACATGAGTGTTTCAAATAGAGGGGGCAGCTAGTGGAAAGGCCCTGAAGAGAGCATAACATTGATATGCTTTATAAAGAGGAAAATGGATAGGGAGGCTGTAGCGAAGTAAATTAAAGAAGAGCAATATCCAATAAGGCCATAGAGTCAGCAAGAAAGCAGCTTTATAAGCCAAGGTAAGGAGCTTTTACAAAAAATGTTATTAATGACCAGTCTAGATCTTTAGAGCAGAGAAATAGCATGACCAGAGTTGCATTACAGAAGATTGTTCTGGCTGCCATGTAGAGAAAGTATCAATCAGATCATAGTAAGTGGTGGAAGATATGCTGCTGCCTTGGACAAAGGTCATGACTGTGGAGATTGGGTGTGGTTTGGAGGTAGAATTGGCAGGTCTTTGTGATCAGGAGGTGGGTAGTAAGGAAAGGGGACAGCAAAGATGACAAGATCCCAGTTAAAGTTGAAAACAATTCTGTGGTTTATACTCCATTGTATCTGGTTATAAACTTTAGGAATGCTCTAGACACACACAAAAAAGTGATTCTTAATTTTTAATTGCTTGAAACACTTACAACTAATTATTTATTTACCAATTCACCCAGATAGGTACCACTTTGTAATGTAGTTGCAGTTATGCATATGGTGCCATAGTTTAGTATTGAATGACAACACTAGTCTTTCCTATATGAGGTTAATCTCTTATTTATTCAAACTCCATTATAATGGCTTAGTTTAAAACACCTCTTCCTTATTAAGCATTCTCTGCATTCCTGTATATCATCAGTTCTGGTACAACATGTGTCTTTCAGATGTAAAGTAGCCCATTTGTGTTTGACAAATAGGAAATAATGACAGCATAAGAAAAATAGTGTTGGTTCATAAATGATTTTTTCCTGGAATACTCATATTTTGCAGAGTACACTGGAACAGCTGAACATAGCAAGCCATAGAGAAATATAGTACTATAGAGGTGCCTAATTATTCTTCATGCTTTCTCTTCACTTAGGGATATGGTTTGGCTCTGTGTCCCCAGCCAAAACTCTTGTCAAATTGTGACCCACCAGGGGCCAAGATGGCTGAATAGAAACAGCTCTGTTCTGCAGCTCCAAGCGAGACCAATGCAGAAGGCGGGTGATTTCTGCATTTCCAACTGGGGTACCCAGTGGATCTCACTGAGACTAGTTAGGCAATGGGTGTAACCCACAGAGGGAGCAGAAGCAGGGTGGGGCATTGCTTCACGTGGGAAGTGCACGGAGTCGGGGGACCTCCCTTCCCCAACCAACGAAGCCCTGAGGGACTGTTTTACCTGCCAGAGGTGCTACATTTTTTCTCAGGGATTTTCGCAGTCCGCGGATCAGAAGATTCCCTTGTGAGCCTACACCACCAGGGTTCCAGGTTTCAAGCACAAAACTGGGTGGCTGTTCAGGCAGGCACTGAGCTGCACGAGTTTTTTCACACTACAGCGGCGCCTGGTACTCCAGTGAGACAGGAGAACGGTAGACTCCCCCGGAAAGGGGGCTGAGCCAGGGAGCCAAGTGGTCTTGTTCAGTGGATCCCACTCCCATGGAGCCCAGAAAGCTAGGAACCACTGGCTTGCAATTCCCACTGTCAGCGCAGCAGTCTGGAGTCCACCCGGGAACAGGTTTGGTGAGGGGAGGGGAGACCGCCATTACTGTGGCTTTTGTAGGTGGTTTTCCCCTGACAGCTAAGGAAACTGGGAGGTTTGGACTGGGCAGAATTCACCCCAGTGCAGCAAAGCGACTATGGCCAGACTGCTTCTCTAGATTCCTCCTCACTGGGTGAGGCATCTCTGCAGGAAATCCAGCAGCTCCAGTCAGGGGCTTACAGAAAGAACTCTCAACTCCCTGGGACAGAGAACCTATGGGGAGGGGCCGGTGCAGACTCAGGTTCAGTGAACTTAATCTTTCCTGCCCACGGGCTCTGAAGAGAGTGGCTGATCCTGACAAGGGGCATTCTCCCAGCATAGCGCACCAGCTCTGCTAAGGGACATACTGCCTCCTCAAGTGGGTCCCTGACCCCATGCCTCCTGACAAGGAGAGGCCTCCCAACAGGGGTCTACGGACAGCTCATACAGGAGAGCTTTGGCTGGCAACAGGCCAGTATCCCTCTGGGATGAAGCTTCCGGAGGAAAGAGCAGGTAGCAATCTTTGCTGTTCTACAGCCTCCACCTGTAATACCCAGGCGAACAGGGTCTGGAGTGGACCCCCAGCAAACTGCAGCAGACGTGCCGAAGAGGGGCCTGTTAGAAGAAAAACTAACACAGAGACGCAGAAATAACAACAACATCAACAAAAAAGCTTCCTCCACAAAAACCCCATCCAAAGGTCATCAGCCTCAAAGATCAAAGTTGGATAAATCCACAAAGATGAGGAAAAAACAATGCAAAAATGCTGAAAATTCCAAAAGCCAGAATGCCTTTTCTCTCCTCCAAATGATCACAACACTTCTCCAGCAAGAGCACAGAACTGGATGGAGAATAAGATGGACAAATTGACAGAAATAGGCTTCAGAAGGTGGGTAATAACAAGCTCCACTGAATTAAAGAAGCATGTTCTAACCCAATGCAAAGAAGCTAAGAACATTGATAAAAGGTTACAGGAACTGCTAACTACAATAAGCAGTTTAGAGAGGAACATAAATGACCTGATGGAGTGAAAAACACAGCATGAGAACTTTGTGGATCATACACAAGTATCAATAGCCGAATTAATCAAGTGGAAGAAAGGATATCAGAGTCTGAAGACCATCTTTCTTAAATAAGGCATGCAGACCAGATTAGAGAAAAAAGAATGAAAAAGAATGGACAAAACCTCCAAGAAATATGGGATTATGTAAAAAGACCGAACCTGTGATTAATTGGAGTACCTGCAAGAGATGGGGAGAATGGAACCAAGTTGAAAAACACACTTGAGGATATTATCGAGGAGAACTTCCCCAACCTAGCAAGACAGGCCAACATGCAAATTCAGGAAATACAGACACCACTAAGATACTCCACAAGAAGATCAACCCAAAGACACATAATCATCAGATTCTTCAAGGTTGAAATGAAGGAAAAAATGTTAATGGCAGCCAGAGAGAAGGGCCAGGTCACCGACAAAGGGAAGCCCATCAGGCTAACAGTGGATTTCTCAGCAGAAACCCTACATGCCAGAAGAGAGTGGGGGCCAATATTCAACATTCTTAAAGAAAAGAATTTCCAACCCAGAATTTCATATCCAGCCAAACTAAGTTTCATAAGTGAAAGAGAAATAAAATCCTTTCCAGACAAGCAAATGCTGAGGGAATTCATCACTACCAGGCCTTCCTTGCAAGAGCTCCTGAAGCAAGCACTAAAAATATGGAAAGAAAAAACTGATACCAGCCACTGCAAAAACACACCAAAATATGAAAACCAATGACATGATGAAGAAGCTGCATCAACTAGTGTGCAAAATAACCAACTAGCATCATGACGACAGGATCAAATTCACACATAACAATATTAACAGTACATGTAAATGGTTTTAACGGCCCAATTAAAAGACAGAGACTGGCAAATTGAATAAAGAGTCAAGACCCATCAATGTGCGGTATTCAGGAGAGCCATCTCATGCACAAAGATACACATGGGCTCAAAAATAAAGGGATGGAGGAAAATTTACCAAGTAAATGGAAAGCAGAAAAAAGCAGGGGTTGCAATCCTAGCCTCTGATGAAATAGACTTTAAACTAACAAACATCAAAAAGACAAAGAAGGGTATAATGTAATGGTAAAGGAATCAATTCAACAAGAAGAGCTAACTATCCTAAATATATATGCACTCAATACAGGAGCACCCAGATTCATAAAGCAAGTTCTTAGAGACCTACAAAGAGACTTAGACTCCCACACAATAACAGTAGAAGACTTTAACACCCGACTGTCAATATTAGACAGCTTGAGACCAATAATTAACAAGGATATTCAAGACTTGAACTCAGCCCTGGATCAAGTGGACCTAATAGACATCTACAGAACTCTCCACCCCAAATGAACAGAATATACATGCTTTTCAGTGCCGCATGGCACTTATTCTACAACTGACCACATAATTGGAAGTAAAACACTCCTCAGCAAATGCAAAAGAATTAATAACAGTCTCTCAGACCACAGTGCAACGAAAATCAAACTCAGGATTAAGAAACTCACTTAAAACCACACAACTACGTGGAAATTGAACAACTTGCTCCTGAATGACTTGGGGGTAAATAAGGAAATTAAGGCAGAAATCAAGAAGTTCTTTGAAACCAATGAGAACAGAGAGACAACGTACTAGAATCTCTGGCACACAGCTAAAGCAGTTTTAAGAAGGATATCTATATATCACTAAATGGCCACATCAGAAAGCTAGAAAGATCTCCAACTGACACCCTAACATCACAATTAAAAGAACTAAAGAAGCAAGAGCAAACAAATCCAAAAGCTAGCAGAAAATGAGAAATAAATAAGATCAGAACAGAACTGAAGGAGAAAGAGATATGAAAAACCCTTCAAAACATCAATGAGGCCAGGTGTGGTGGCTCACGCCTGTAGTCCCAGCATTTTGGGAGGCCGAGGCAGGCAGATCACCTGAGGTCAGGAGTTCAAGACCAGCCTGGCCAACGTGGTGAAACCCTGTGTCTATTAAAAATACAAAAATTAGCTGGGCATGGTGGCAAGTTCCTATAATTCCAGCTATTCAGGAGGCTGAGGCAGGAGAATCACTTGAACCGGGGAGGTGGAGGTTGCGGTGAGCTGAGCGTGCCACCGCACTCTAGCTTGGGCAACAGAGTGGGACTCCGTCCCCTCCCCCCAACAAAAAAAAATAAATAAATAAAATAAATGAATCCAGGAGCTGTTTTTTGAAAAAATTAACAAAATATATCACTAACTAGACTAATAAAGAAGAGAAAAGAATCAAATAGACACAATAAAAAATGATAAACAGGATATCACCACTGACCCCACAGAAATACAAACTACTATCAGAGAATACTATAAACACCTCTACTCAAGCAAACTAGAAAATCTAAAAGAAATGGATAAATTCCTAGACACATACACCCTCGCATACTTATTCCCCCAAAACACCTTCATACACATACTTATTCCCAGGAATAAGTCAAATCCCTGAATAGACCAATAACAAGTTTTGAAATTGAGGCAGTAATTATTAACCTACCAACCAACAACCAAAAAACAAACAAAAAAAATGCCCAGAACCAGATGGATTAACGGCCGAATTCTACCAAAAGAACAAAGAGGAGCTGGTACCATTCCTTCTGAAACTATTTGAAACAACTGAAAAAGAGGGACTCCTCCCTAACTCATTATATGAGGCCAGCATAATTCTGAGACCAAAACCTGGAAAAGATACATCAAAAAAAGAAAACTCAGGCCAATATTCCTGATAATATCAATGCAAAAATCCTCAGTAAAATACTGGCAAACCGAATCCAGCAGCACATTAAAAGGCTTAAACCACCATGATGAAGTTGGCTTTATCCCTGGGATGCAAGGCTGATTCAACATTCGCAAATCAATAAATGTAATCCACCACATAAACAGAACCAATGACAAAAAACACTTGATTATTCTAATAGAGACAGAAAAGGCCTTCAATAAAATTCAACATCCTTTCATGTTAAAAACTCTCAATAAACTAGGTATTGATGGAACATATCTCCAAATAATACAAGCTATTTATGACAAACCCATAGCCATTATCATGTGGAATGGGCAAAAGCTGGAACCATTTCCTTTGAAAACCAGCACAAGACAAGGATGCCCTCTCTCACCACTCCTATTCAATTTAGTATTGGAAGTTCTGGCCAGGGCAATCAGGCAAGAGAGAAAAGTATAGTGTATTCAAATAGGAAGAAAGGAAGTCAAATTGTCTGTTTGCAGATGGCATGACTGTTTATTTAGAAAACCACATCACCTCAACACAAAAACTCTTCAACTGATAAGCAACTTCAACAAAGTCTCAGGATATGAAATCAATGTGCAAAAATCACAAGCATTCCTACCTACCAACAATACACAAGCAGAGAGCCAAATCATGAATGAACCCCCATTCACAATTGCTACAAAGAAAATAAATACCTGGAAATACAGCTAACAAGGGACATGCAGGGCCTCTTCAAGGAGAACTACAAACCACTGCTCAAGGAAATAAGAGAGGACACAAACAAATGAAAAATCATTCCATCCTTATGGATAGGAAGAATCAGTATCATGAAAATGGCCATCCTACCCAAAAGGATTTATAGATTCAATGCTATTTTCATTAAACTACCATTGACATTCTTCACAGAATTAGAAAAAAATTACTTTAAATTTCATATGGAACCAGAAAAGAGCCTGTATAACCAAGACAATCCTAAACAAAAAGAACAAAACTGGAAGCATCATGTTACCTGACTTCAAACTACACTAAAAGGCTATAGTAACCAAAACAGCATGGTACTGGTACAAAAACAAACATATAGACCAATGGAACAAAACAGGGACTTCAGAACTAACACCACACATCTACAACCATCTGATATTTGACAAACCTGACAAAAACAAACAATGGGGAAAGGATTCCCTGTTTAATAAATGGTGCTGAGAAAACCGGCTAGCCATATGCAGAAAACTGAAACTGGAGCCCTTTTTTACACCTTATACAAAATTATCTCAAGATGGATTAACAACTTAAATGCAAAACCCCAAATCATAAAAACCCTAGAAGAAAACTGAGGCTATACCATTCAGGACATAGGCATAGGCAAAGATTTCATCATGAAAACACCAAAAGCAATTGCAACAAAAGCCAAAATTAACAAATGGGATCAAATTAAACTAAAAAGCTTCTGCATAGCAAAAGAAACTATCACCAGAATGAAAAGGCAATCTACAGAATGGGAGAAAATTTTTGCAATCTACCCATCCAACAAAGGTCTAATATCCAGAATCCACAAGGAACTTAAACAAATGTACAATAACAACAACAACAAACCATCAAAAAGTGGGTAAAGGATATGAACAAAAACTTCTCAAAATAAGACATTTATGTGACCAAGAAACATGAAAAAAAGCTCAACATCACTGATCATTAGAGAAATGCACATCAAAACCATAATGAGATAACATTTCATGCCAATCAGAATGACAATTACTGAAAAGTCAAGAAACAAAAGATGCTAGTGAGGCTGTGGAGAAATAGAAACACTTCTACACTGTTGGTGGGAATGTAAATTAATTCAACCATTGTGGAATTCCTCAAGGATCTAGAACCAGAAATACCATTTGATCCAGCAACCCCATTACTAAGTATATACCCAAAGGAATATAAATCATTATATTATAAAGATACATGCACACGTATGCTTATTACAGCACTATTTACAATAACAAAGACATAGAAACAACCCAAATGCCCATCAATGTTAGACCAGATAAAGAAAATGTGGTCATATACACCATGGAATACTACACATCCATAAAAAGGAATGAGATCATGTCCTTTGCAGGGACTTGGATGAAGCTGGAAGCCATCATCCTCAGCAAACTAACAGAGTAACAGAAAACCAAACACCACATGTTCTCACTCATGTTAGAGTTGAACAATGAGAACACATGGACACAGGGAGGGGAACAACACACACCAGGGCCTATTAGGGGGTGGGATGCAAGGGTAGGGAAAGCATTAGGAAAAATACCTAATGGATACAGAGCTTAAAATCTAGATGACAGGTTGATAGGTGCAGCAAACCACCATGGCCCATGTATACCTATGCTACAAACCTGCACATTCTGCACATGTGTCCCGGAACTTAAAGTAAAATAGAAAAAATAAATAAATAAAATAAAATGCCTAAAAAAGTTTAGAGCCCTTACAAATTATGCGAACTCTGCTCTTTCTCTGCTCTATAAATGAAACAGCAAAGCCTAGATGAAAGCATGGTATACTGAATACTTTAATCCCACTGTTGAGGCCTACTGCTCAGAAAAAATGATTCTGGTTACCCAAGAGCTCTGATAAAGATATACAAGGAGATTAATGTTTTCATGCCTGCTAACAGTATTCATTCTTCAGCCCATGGGCCAAGAAACAATTTTGACTTTCACATCTTATTATTTAAGCAATACATTTTGAAAAGCTCTAGCTACCATAGATAGTACTTCCTGTGACGGATCTGGGCAAAGTAAATTGAAAACTTCCTGGAAAGGATTCTCTATTCTAGATACCATGATTCATGGAAGGTGTCAACATGGCAGTATTAACAGAAGTGTGGAAGAAGTTGATTCCAACCCTTATGAATGACTTTGAGGGTTTCAAGACTTTAGTGGAGGAAGTCACTGCAGATGTGATAGAAATAGCAACAGAATGCAAATAAGAATTGCAGCCCGGAGATGTGACTGAATTGCTGCAATTTCATAAAAAAACTTGAATGGATGAGGAGTTGCTTCTTATAGATGAGTAAAGAAACTGGTTTTTTTGAATGGAATCTATTCCTGGTTAAGATGCTGGGAACATTGTTGGAATGGCAACAAAGGATTCAGAATATTACATAAACTTAGATAAAGCAGCAGCACAGTTGGGAGGATTTACTGCAATTTTGAAATTTGTGGATAAAATGCTGTCAAACAGCACTGCATGCTATAGAGAAATCTTTCTTGAAAGAAAAAATTAATCAATGTGGCAAACATTGAAGACCCTCCACTGGCAAAAAGATTATGACTTGTTGAAGGCTCAGATAATCATTAGCAATTTTTAGTAATAAAGTATTTTAAAATTAAAAAAAAATTGTGATCTCCATATGTTGAGCAGAGCTTGGTGAGAGATTTATTGAATAATGGGGGTGGACTTCCCCCTTGCTGTTCCTGTGACAGAGTTCTTATGAGATATGGTTGTTTAATAGTCTATAGCACTTCCCTTACCTCCTGTTGCCATGTGAAGAGGTGCTTGTTTCCCTTCCCCTCTTCAGTCATGATTGTAAGTTTTCTGAGACCTCCGCAGCCATGCTTCCTGTACAGCCTGTGGAGCTGTAAGTCAATGAGACCTCATTTCTTTATAAATTGCCCAGTATCAGGTAGTTCTTTATAGCAATATGAGAAACGACTAATACACTTAGTTTGGCCACATGATCTGGCTGGAAGACTGATTATGCAATTCTTCCTTACCCCTGTGCAATTTTCTTTGTTTCCATAACTCCACAGCCTCAATTTTTCTTTATATCCCATTCTATCAAATAACACTCATCTTCCCAAATGATTAACATAAAGTCCTACATTTTCTGTAGCATTTATTAACTACAAAATCAAATATTTTAATTATTTCAGGAATTTTTTATTGGGATTGCAAATGTTTTTGTTAAGTGTTCTGATTATAGATTTGTATAAGTTGGGAGTGATCTGCCCAATATTATGTTTTGTTCCTATAAACACTGCTATATTGAGTGCACAATCTGACAAAGATAAAATTTTTCTGGGAACCTGTGCATCACCTTTTAGCAGAAATACCTTTAACTTGCAGTTGTCATAGTCTGTTTTGTGTTACTGTAAAGGAATACCTGAGGCTGGGTAATTTATGAAGAAAAACAGTTCATTTGGTTCAGAGTTATGGTGGCTGGAAGGTTCAAGATTGTGTATCTGGTGAGGGCCTCAGGATGCTCCCACTCACAGCAGAAGGAAAAGGGGAGCCAGTGCGTGCAGAGATCACATAATGAGAAAGGAAGCAAGAGGAGGGGGAAAGTGAGGGGTTTTTTTAACAACTGGCTTTCTCTGGAACAAATAGAGCAAGAGCTCCTTTCCTCCCAGGGGGAGCATCTATTTATGGGAGATCTACCCCGGTGATGATTGAAACACCTCTCCCCAGGCCCCACCTTCAAAGACCACCACACTGGGGATTAAATTTCAACATGTGATTTGGTGGGGACAAACAAACCATATCCAAACCATAGCAGTAGTCACACGGCTAACCCATGTTAGAACTCCACTAGACAGTGAATTCAGGGGGCTAATGATTTTTCATTGTTACTATCATTTTTGCTAAGATAGTTTAAGGACAAGAATCATGGTTCAATATATATGTGCAAGATGAATAAATGCAAGCTTATATTGGTTCTCAGTTCAATGGGTAATATGGTTTAGGTGTCAACAAATTGACTGTTGTCTTGTAGATCTTTAAGTAAAAAACAAATTACATCAATTTTTTGTTATTCTTGCCATTTCATCTCTTTTCCCCTTGTTTCCTCAGTGCTACATAGTATCACATTGAGTACATAATAAAGGGCTTAACAATAATTATGAAGTAGAAATAAGCAGTCCTTTTTCCAACATACATAATCACAGTAAATGAGATCCATGATATCTTGCATTGTTTTAGTAACTATTGTTTTGCAGAATATGTGAACAACTGCCCTCTTAGTTGTGGTATTATTCAAGAAATGCTATTTCAGATACAACTTTCAATTAAATTAATGTTTAAAATATTACTGAAATATTTGATATCTGTCATAATAATCATCGATAACAAATAGTCAAGATTTTTTTGTCATCAGTCCAATTTCTAAAAATGTATTACTTAAATTTTAAAGAGAAACTCCACAAGATGAAAAACTTAAGAGTACTAAGAATACACCACTTCTTTAAGAGGCAACCCCTTCACTAACCTCAGGAGAATAAAGGATGATAGATTTATACTTTATATGTGCCTCTTCTTAAAACTTCTGAAGAAAATATAAAGAGAGATCTTTCCACTTTAAAGATATTCCTTACTCTATAATGAAATCATTTGCCTTGCCATTCTGTGTCAGTGGGGATTTTCTGTATTAGATTTTTCATATGAAAATAAAGGCTCCCAATTATTGCTCATCAGCATTTACTCAGTTTTCCCCATACAGAGCAAGCCCTGTTTCACTTTTGATTCTTTTCTTAAATAAACAAGACATTTCATTTCTAGCACTTACTCCTCTAACCACAGTCCATCAAGGCTGAAGATATTATAGTGAGAGCTTTGAGCTCAAAAGGCTTGACAAAATAATCAGTACTTAGAGTAAATTGCTACAAAGAACAGGGGAAATAGGCCATTTTAAGTCTTTTCTGACTTACTGAAAAACCAGTTTGGAATTACATCTGGAGTCCATAGAAAGTCCTTGAAAACTCTGCAATTTAAGAGCCAACCCTCTGCTTGTCCATTAGCAATGACTTTCATTATGGAGTAGCATTATTTCAAGCTTACTACCTGGTAGGTTAAGCTTATTTTAGGCATGGTTGTCTACAAATTAAACAAACCAACAACAACAATAAAAACTTAGAATGGAGGCCAACGAAATGGGCTTCAATGGTTCTGAAAATCCAAGTCTCGTCTTAAAGGAAGGAGTTATGCTGAATGCTTCAGTATTTAAGTCTCACCCCATCCTCCCACAACCTTCAATTTTCTTTTTTTTTTTTTTTTTTTTTTATTTTTAATGTTTTTTTTTTTTTTTTATTATACTCTAAGTTTTAGGGTACATGTGCACATTGTGCAGGTTAGTTACATATGTATACATGTGCCATGCTGGAATGAAACCACATGGAAGCCACTCTGCAGGAGATGTTTAGGCTCAACGGTCACTTTGCCCCAGGCTGTTCTCTTCTGAGTTCCTCCTTGAGAGAATCAATACCAGCAGTGAAAGTGAGGGTGACAATTGCCAATAACTCTCATAAGTTTGTTAAACTTATTTTCAACTATTTTAATTCCCAGATAAAAAAATATTGTTTTAGTTAGTTTACCAGAATGAGAATGAATAATATATGCAAGTTGCTAGACAATAATAATAGTCAGGCTTTATTAAGCCTCTAGGATGGGCTTTTAAATTTTTCTCCTTTACCTATATCTAACACAAACATTAGTGGAAGGTATTATTTTATTACCTCTCCACTCAAGGCCTTCTTTCCTGCAATTGCTCCTTTTTATTACACCAAAATTTTCACTATCTATCTTCTAAACCAAACCCATTAGCACATTAATACACTATATCTCCCATCAAACAAATTAACAGCTGAGACAAATTTTTAAAAATCTGAAACTTCTCATAATTTCACATCTCCTAATCAACATTCACTACATTTTTTTCTCCTAATAGCATATTTCGTCCAAAGAGTTATCTATGTGTATTATCTGCCCTTAATTCCCTTAAATTTTCTCTTGTATGCACTCCAATCAGATTTTAAACTCTGCCATTTCACCAACTGCGCTGTTGTCAAAGCAATTAGCTGACCAACTCAATTGCTAAATCCTAGTTGTCATCTTACTAAACCTTTTAGTAACCTCTGATTCAATAAATCCTTCTAATCTTCTTGAACAACTTTCTTTACATGGCTTCAGGAACACCACTTCTACTGGTTCTTCTATACATTCATTGTCTATTTCAACTTTCTACCCTCTTGTCTTGATGTCTAAACATTAAAGTGCCTTCTGTATTAGCTTGAAGACCTACTCTCTTTCCTCTCTTTACTCATCTCCATAGATGATCTCGTCCAATCTCAAGCCTTTAACTAGTATCTATATTATTAGGATTGCCACATTTAATCTTTATCCTGAACCTATCTCCTGAACCTCATATTCAATTTTCTATTCAACATCTCCAATGCAATATCTAACACATCCTAAAACTCAGTAAGTTTTCACCAAACTTTTGATTCAACCATTTTCCCAATCTGCCTTTTCATAGCAGTGTCCACTTCAAGTATTGCCAGATGTATTAGTCCATCCTCACAATGCTATAAAGAACTATCTAAGACTGGGTAATTGATGAATTAAAGAGGTTTAATTTACTTACAGTTCTGCAGGCTTAAAAGGAAGCATGACTTGAAGGCCTCAGGAAAGGAGAAGCAAGCACATCTTAACATGGTGGAGCAGGAGAGCGAGAGAGTGAAGTGGGAGGTGCTACACATTTTCAAACAACCAGATCTTGTGAGAACTCTCTCAATTATCGCAAGAACAGCAAGGAGGAAATTTGCCCGTATGATCCAGTCACTCCCTACTGGGCCCCACCTTCAATACCTGAGGATTACATTATTATATTTCATCTTTATGAGATTTGAGTGGGGCCACAGAGCCAAACCACATCATTTTGCCCATGGCCCCTCTCAAATCTCACGTCCTTTTCACATTTCAAAACCAATCATGCCTTTTCAGCAGTCCCCCAAGGTCTTAACTTATTCTGGTATTAACTCAAAAGTCCAAGTCCGTAGTCTCATCTGAGACAAGGCAAGACCCTTCTGCCTAGAAGCCTGTAAAATCAAAAGCAAGTTAATTATTTCCAAGATACAGTGAGGGTACAAGTATTGGGTAAATGCGCTTGTTACAAATGGGAGAAATTGGCCAAAAAAGGGGGGTCACAGGCCCAATGCAAGTCCAAAACCAGGCCGGGCAGTCATTAAATCTGAAAATTCCACAATAATCTCCTTTGATTCCATGTCTCACATCCAGGGAATGTTATGCAAGGGGTGGGCTCACATGCCCTTGTGCAGCTCTGCCCCTGTCACTCTGCAGGGTTCAGTCCCCATGGCTGCTTTCATGGGTTGGTGTTCAATGCCTGTGGCTTTCTTGGTTGCACAGTGCAAGCAGTCAGTGGATCTAGCATTCTGGGGTCTTGAGGATGGTGGCCTTTTTCTCACAGCTCCAGTAGGCAGTGCCTTAGTGGAGACTCTGTGTGGGGGCTCCAACCCCACATTTCTCCTCCTCACTGACCTAGCAGAGGTTTTCCATGAAGGCTCTGCCCCAGCAGCAGACTTCTGCCTGGACATCCAGGCATTTCCATACATCCTCTGAAATCTAGGTGGAGGTTCCCAAACCTCAATTCTTGCCTTCTGCATTCCTGCAAGCCCAACACCACATGGAAGCTGTCAAGGCTTGGGGCTTGTACCCCCTGGAGCAATGGCCTGAGCTGTACCTTGTCCCATTTTAGCCATGGCTGGAGCTGGAGTGGCTGAGATGGAGGGTGTCATGTTGCAAGGCTGCACAGAGTGGCAGGGCCCTGGGCCCAAACCAGGAAACAAATTTTCCTTCTTACACCTGGGGGCCTATGAAGGGAGGGGCTGCTGTGAAGAACTCTAACATTTCCTGGAGACATTTTCCCTGTTGTCTTGGCTATTAACATCCTGCTCCTCATTACCTATGCAAATTTCTGCAGCAGGCTTAAATTTCTTCTCCAGAAAATGGGTTTTTCTTTTATTCCACATGGTCACACCGCAAATTTTCCAAACGTTTATGCTCTGCTTCCCTTTTAAACATAAGCTTCAATTTCAGATTACCTCTTTGTGAACAAATATGACTGTACACTTCTAGAAACAGGTAACTTATCGAATGCTTTGTTGCTTAGAAATTTCTTCAACCAGGTACCCTAAATCATCTCTCTCAAGTTCAAAGTTCCACAGATCTCTAGGGCAGGGGCAAAACGCCACCAGTCTCTTTGCTAAAGCATAGCAAGTGTGACCTACGTTTCAGTTCCCAATAATTTCCTCATCTCCATCTGAGACCACCTCAGCCTGGACTTTATTTTCCCTATCACTATCAGCATTTTGGTGAAAGCCATTCAACAAGTCTCTAGGAAGTTCCAAATTTTCCCACATCTTCCTTTCTTCTGAGGCCTCCAAGTCTCTAGAAAGTTCTAAACTTTCTGACATTTTCTTGTCTTCTTCTAAGCCCTCCAAACTGTTCCAACTTCTGCCCATTACCCAGTTCCAAAGTTGCTTTCACATTTTCAGGTATCTTTATGGCAGTGCTCCACTTTCCTAGTACCAATTTTCTGTATCAGTTCATTCTCACACTGTTATAAAGAACTCCGTGATACTGGGTAATTTATGAAGAAAAGAGATTTAATTGACTCACAGTTTCACAGGCTTAACAAGAAGCAGGACTTGGAGGCCTCAGGAAACTTACAATCATAGCAGAAGGTGAAGGAAAAGCAAACAGGTCTCACAATGGCAGGGCAGGAGAGAGAGCGAGCAAAGGGGTAGGTGCCACATCTTTTCAGACAACCAGGTCTTGTGAGAACTCACTCATTAAGAGAACAAGCAAAGGGGAAACCCGCCTCCATGAACCAATCACCTCCCACCAGGCACCTCTTCTGACACATGGGGATTACAATTTGAGATGAGATTTGGGTGGGGATACAGAGCCAAACCATATCATCAGATGAGGCCAAAAACCTTGAAAAGGCTTTTTTTCCCCTTCATGTGCTCTATGCAGTCCATAAGCAAATGTTATGGGCTGTATCTTCAATTTCTAAATCTGTGAATTTTTCGCCACCTCAACTACTAATAACTACCTTCATACAAACCTCCATTCCACCTTGCCTGCATAATTGCAATAACCTCCTAAAGTGTTTCCTTGTTTCCACTACTTTTTTCTCCCACAGAATTTTCTGTTTGTCATCCAGAGTAATACTGTCAAAATAAATGTTAGGGCTAATTTGTCTCTTATTCTCAAAACCCTCTTATAGCTTCCCATCTGGCTAGAAATAAAACCTAACACCTTTACGATTGTCTAAAAGGCCCATATCTTTGGCCATAGGTGATCTCTCAATTCCTTTCCCACTACTACATTTGGTTATGCAAATACAGCCTTGTAACTGAGGCTGAAGATAGCCTCTGAGGAGGGTCAGATTGCTTTGTATAATACAGGGAGAGTGAGAGAAGTTGTTCTGAAGTTGGTAGGAGACTTGATCATATTTGGCATGGAGAAGTAGCAATATCTACCAGAGAGACAAGAAGGAGGGTGACAAGGCATGAATACAAAAGTCCAGAGTATGGGAAGAGATGTGATGTAACAATTTTGAAGGATAGGCACGTTTGATATTTAATTGTAAATAGTGTTGCTATACTATTCACTCCCAATAAATTAAAAAATCTTTAGGACTATCTGCTATACAAATGCCTTATGTGGGTAACTTATGTGCCCCCCAAGAGCAAAAAGATGTATTGCAATATCTGGGTTCGTAAGTTCAGAGAAAAGACACTATGTCCCTATCAGTGAGCTTATTCGTAAACTCAAAAAACATCACTGGAAGAGCTCAGATCTACTTGGTTAGTAAAATATGAAAGCTTAGAACAAAGCTTGTCCAACCAGTGGCCTATGGGCTGAATGCAGACCAGGATGGCTTCAAATGTGGCTCAACACAAATTCATAAACTTTCTTAAAACTTTATGAGGATTTTTTTTGTGATTTTTTAAAGCTCATCAGCTATCATTAGTGTTAGTGTGCTTTGTGTGTGGCCCAAGGCAATTCTTCTTCTTCCAATGTTGCCCAGGGAAGCCAAGGGATTGGATATCCCTGCTTTAGAGATACCAAGGAGGTCATTCAGTTCCTGACTATCCACAGATTCTACTGTATTTATGTCCATTTTCTTTCAAGGTATTAACCTGTTTATCATCATCATCATCATCACATAATGGGACACATAATGGGAGTCATGGGTCATGGTGACTTTTGGTGTCCAGTTTGTAGCTATTACTTTCTGTTTTGTTTGTCCCACATACAAAAACATTCCAGAAGTTAATTTTAGGGGTGAGTTTATATCTGTAAATGGTACTCTGTAGCATTCATAAATAGGATTTCCAAGCCATTTTTAAAAGACATATTCCAACTACAACTAATCCTTTTTCCTAGGTAGAAAAATTGAGGAACACAGAGGAAGTGATAGTGTTTGCACTAATTACAATTGCATAATGGTAAAATGATAAGCATGGGATGATGTTGACCCAAATGTCAGAGTCTCCTCCTTTTTTTTTTTTTTTTTTTTTTGTTTGAGATGGAGTTTCACTCTTGTTGCCCAGGGTGGAGTGCAATGGCACGATCTGGGCTCACTGCAACCTCTGCCTCCTGGGTACAAGCGATTCTCCTACCTCAGCCTCCTGAGTAGCTGGGATTACAGGCATGTGCCACTATGCCCGGCAAATTTTTTGTATTTTTAGTAGAGACGGAGTTTCTCCATGGTGGTCAGGCTGGTCTCGAACTCCCGACCTCAGGTGGTTTGCCAGCCTCAGCCTCCCAAAGTGCTGGGATTACAGGCATGAGCCACCATCCCTGGCCTATCAGAATCTTTTCTATTGCTCTACATTGCTCTCAAGATTTCAAAAAAAATTATCACTATCTTTGATTAAGGCTAAAACAGAAACTACTTGATTCTCTGATCTTATTTGAGCTTTGGATTGGAGAAATTACTTTCCATTTAGAGGGAGAATTACCTTGATTGTCATTCTTGCCTGTTATTTATTTATTTATTGTTTCATGGCCAAATTATCCTAGATTTTGTATTTTAGTTTCCTGTCTGAGAAGAAATTTGATACCATGGAAAACCTTGCATTGTTTTACCCTAATAATTCATTGCTTACAATGTCTATGTGTGTAAACTATTCTCTTCACTTTGGGTTCAGTTTCATTTTCTGAGGATTTCTGAAGGTAGAAATTGTCTCTTAAAATGAAAATAGCAGTCCAATAGTCAGACCCAGAGTTTATTTGGAGAGTCATAGGAAAGACACATTATTGTACCTGAGTTATTATAATTGTCAATCAAGTTTTCTTAATGGAAAGTTGTAATTTGACATCAAATGTATCATTAATTCAAATGTGCCACAAAAAGTAAGCAAGCAAGTAATTGACCTTTGAATGGGAATGCATGTTGGGAAGCCCATATGAAACAGACTGAACTTAAAACTGCATGATTTTGTTGGACCCAATGGACTTCTTCATGGAAATATAAAAAATAACAAAAAGTTGGTTTATTTTATTTTACATAGACAAGAAGGCACTGAATAAAAAGGTCCCACAAAGATGCAGCAGTGAATTCTCACCCAGCAGTCTTCACCTCATACCAGCCATTCAAGCATCAAGATTACTACTTGCTGGCTTCAAAAGGTATTTCTGCTTGAGGAGTCATTTCTGCCTGCTAAACTTCTCTCCTTCTCTTTCAGCAGGTCCCATATGTTAAGAACAACCTTGGTTTCGGTTTAGCTTATTATCCACCTATTGCAGGGAGACCTTATGTTAAAATAATGAGAGCTAAAGGACTTAGAACCATTGGGGTTTCCAATATTTTTCTTAAAGTTGCATTTACTATTCCTACGCAGAATAAACAAAAAAATATAAATGTTTATACACACACACAGATACACACAGGCACACACAGACAAGCATACCATAGCATATAGGCTAATAATTTAATATTATTATATTCTAAAGCTAAGACAGACGAAAGTAGCCTTAGAATGTGTCATTATAATTCAGCCAAACTACTAGCTACTGCTCTGTTAATTATGCATAAAAACGAGAGGGTTATTTATGGCTGCTCTGGGATAGATGTATTTATACCGTACAGTCGGGGTCTCCCTATGGGCAGCTGCTTCATCAGTGCTCATTGAATTTAAAAGGCACTTTCCAGATTTATTTCAGATGGCAGCCTTTGAACCCAAGGGCCACCTTGATTGAACTGGTCTCAATGGTCGCTTGTCTCATCCCCTGAGAAGCTGCTGGCTTTGAGCTTGATTAGGCTCTGATTGATGTGTGCACCTTAAATCAGTTCCCAGGAAGTCCATGAAGAATGAAATGCCACAAAACTGCATTATCTCAGACAAATACATGAAGTGGAATCAGCTTCTATAGAAACGCATCTCAGAGACACGATATACGTGAATGTTGACTGGTGGGTCAGACTGTTCTCCTGCTGGACTTGTAAATACGCAGTTGCAAAAGCATTAACACAAAATTAGAGACTAGTTCAGAGGTTAGCAGCATTGAATGTAGCTGACCTGGAATGATATTAGAGATAGCAGTGACTGGCAATCTACCACCCCACTCAAATCTCACGCTTTTTTTTTTTTTTTTTTTTTCTGGAGCTGGTGAAATCTTAGAGTTCCTCTTATTGAGCAGTGACTGACTTTGTGCCAAGCACTGAGCTAAGCGTTTTACATAGAAAGTCATTTAATTCTCACAATGACTTGAATAATAAAAAAGAGGATTATCACTTCTATTTTGTGATGGCAAATAAGATTAAATAATTTGTCCAAGGTCACAGAACTAACAAGGGCACAGCCAGCAATTTACGCAGGTCTGTTTGCTCTGCAACTTGTGCTCTTAACTGCTTCTATACACTCCTTCCTTGTTTATCCTTTGTGCTACATTTTCTCTTTTCCTTGGTTTTCATATTCTGATATGATTTCTTCTTGTTTTTTCTTCCCCTTTGACCTATTGTTTATTTCTTCCATCCCCTTCTTCCATTAAGTCTTCCTCTTGAACCAGAGGTCTCAAAAAATAGCTAGGTTAGATGTTTATTATAGTGATAATATGTTTGAACAAAAGATAAAATCCTTTTTCACCAATGAGTGGTTTGGCTGATAAATTATATGTTTTTCCTTTATAATATGAAATGTCCACGCTTCCTGTCTCAGAGCATCACAAAGGAATAAAGCGCTAGAGAGAAGCCCTACAAGCCTACTAATGTTAGGGCACCTTTATTCACCAGATTGTGCAAGGTGTAAAGAAAGAAAAGATATTTTTGAGTACATTTTGAACACAAAAGCTATTTAGCAACTTGTGAAAATAATCTTGAAGATTTGACAAAATATGACCATGAATTTTGGATAACCCACAAAGTATTATTTATCTGATTCTATTATTAAATGTATTTTTTAAACTTAACTGCAAGCAGAATAGGAAGACAAATATTTTCTAGAGAGTTACCATATGCGAGTTACCCATACACTAGCAGGTAACAGGGGAATTATTTCTTGAAATAATTGTGATTGGTATCTTTTTATCAAAACCTAAGGTAGCAGATAAAATGTGATTAAGAATGCAACAGAGAACAGAAACATTACACCGACTTTCTCAGCCCGCCACATTTCATCAGCCTGCTTAGGACAGGGTTTTCCATTCACAAGTGCTTTATCACAGAGACATCTTGCTGCATCCTGAGAGTCCATGTGGATGATACAGCTAGGGAGGAAGACCCACGCTTTCTAATCTAATTTCTGATTTATTCTTGGACTACTGTGATATCAAAATGAGACTTTGTGAGGCTTTACAAGAAATGGCTATACTGTCAGGCGAAAAAAATTTAAATATTATAAGATGCGGAATAAAAACACTGTAGTGGCCCTTGGATTTGGACAACCCATGCTGCAGCAGAGATAATGTACATATTACTCTCACTTGCCTGTTGTGACAAGATGGCAAGGGAAATATGGGATATCCAACTTTGGAATATTGTGATTCATGACAGTGGAAACACAATTGAGAGAAATAATAAGTACTTTTTTGGCAAATAGGTAGAGAATATGTAAGACTTCAAGGTTCCTTGATGTCACATGCTTTTGATATTTGCAAGATTGTAAACTGCTGTATCACAGAGACGATGTCTCCTTTGCATAGAACTCTCAAGTATACAATACAATATCTCACATATTAATTGATAGGTAAATAACATTTTCCAAAGGAATTTACAAGGCTTAAAGTGAGCTAATACCTGTAGGGACTTCTTGGATTGCTAGGAAAAGAACATTGCCAGTGTATCTGCTCAAGAAAAGAAAGAGTAGAGCCAGCAGCAACAAAGGGAGAAGTAATGACCTCCTTTAAATTGTGATGTAAAACCCCAGATCATCTGGTGTATTGATTAAGAAAAGGAACTTTGGAGTAAGAGAGAGCTGGTTTCAAATGTTGGCTAGCATTTGTACTAGCTTTGTGATCTTGGGCAAATTACTTAATCTCTCTGAGCTTCTGTCCTTGGCTATGCAATGGAGACTTCAATAGTTTCTGTCTCTAAGGCTTGCTGTGAGGGTGAAAGAAGATACTATATATTAATATTAAAAAGTTTTAACACATACATTTTTAAATGTTACTATCTTATTTCTGTGACTGATATTATTACTTCCTACCCTTCTTCCTTTGAAATGTTACACAATCCAAAATTATCTCCTAATTTGCTTCAGTTTAAAAATTTTTTAAAAATTGGCTGGGCACAGTGGCTCACGCCTGTAATCACAGCACTTTGGGAGGCCGAGGCGGGTGGATCACCTGAGGTCAGGAATTCGAGACCAGCCTGGCCAACATGGTGAAACCCCATCTCTGCTAAAAATACACAAATTAGCTGGGTGTGGTGGTGGGCATCTGTAAACCCAGCTACTCAAGAGGCTGAGGCAGGAGAATCGCTTGAACCCGGAAGGTGGAGGTTGCAGTGAGCCAAGATCACGCCACTACACTCCAGCCCGGGTGAAAGAGTGAGACTCTGTCTAAAACAAACAAAAAACAAACAAACCAAAAAAAATTCCTTATCCTCTGTATTAATTGTAATTTAAGTGGTTGAAACTCAATTCTCTAAAAGCTTAGTTAGGATTCCATGTGAAAGTATGCTTAAGTAAGCATGCTTAGCATATATAAATAGTGGTTAAAAGATAAACTCCCAATATTAGCCAAGATCGACACAGATATCTTATTTGCATGTATAACTCCTCAGACTTCTACTCACAAGTCTTTGCTCATAATGACACTTGTCCTTTAATCCTTAAGCTAGTGAAGTTTAAGAATTGGATATTGTCATATGGACAGAAGTAAACTGAAACATCTATTCAATGCTCAAGAATGAGAATGACAAATCCACTCTTAATTTCCAAATCCTCTTGAACATTGATAAATATTTGGAGCAGGAAAAAAAGTAAACACCACGTCATCTTTACCCTGGGCTCTCAAGCTAGGCTGCCCAACTGAATTGTCCTGGGACCTTTCAAAAAAAAAATATAATGAATCTTTGCCTTTTTCAAACAAGTATATCTCTCTTAAAGTTGTAGCAGTAAGAAGTGGTAGTGTTAATAGTGAGAGTTAATATTGACTGGCTCTCTCACTAGCTGTGTGTTTCTGGGAAAGTTATGTAACCTCACTAAGCAATTTATAAAATATTAATAATAATATAACTATCACGTAGTGTTGTTAGGAGGATCAAATAACTCAATGCCTAGTCTGTGCTTACCTCTGTGTCTAATACAGAGTACCCATCACTGTCCACTGCCATTCTTGTTATGCTTCAGGAACCTGAGGTGGTTGACTCTCTCAACGCCTGGAAATGTTTCTAAGAAAGCAAGAATCATATCCTTACAGAAATCAATGGCATTAGCAAAATATCAGTTCAAGAGATTGTAACTCTCCCCTTGTTTTTGACTCTTAGCAACAGATTAGTACCAGACATGAAATTGAGCAGGCAAGTACTTAAGATGGATTTTTTCGATAACTGGCAATCTCAATACAAAGCTGAGGTTTCTGTTTCATTATGTTTGAGTGACCTTGAAGGAAAGGGATTCATAAGTGATTTTTAAGACACCAAAAAAAAAAAAAAAAAAAAAAAAGAAAGAAAAGAAAAAAACTGAATCCTTCCACCCATTTCTCTCTCCACTTTTCAAATTAAAAGCTTCTCTGCCTTTTGTACCAAAAGTCCCATTTTTCTCCAAATTAAGTGTACCCAATCTGAATCCTAGTGTATCAAATGTCAGGTTCTCCATTAAAACAGTAAAACACAATTTTAAATTTACTCTTCAATACTTCAAAATAAAGCATGTGCTTCCACTAACACTTTATGCCTTATTTTCATTATTTCAAAGAACAATAGATGTGTTATAAAGTTGCATTATTTAAGTAAAAATCAAGGCTATTTGCTTGGGCTGAAATTATATCACTACACTATGCTGATATAAATCATTGTGTTCATTACCATTCTATTTAGCACTTATATATTGTATTATATATTGTTGTATAACAAAAGCTGTTGTTATTTAATAAAAGCACTTGTGCAATAAACAAACACTTTTAAATCATGGGATTTATTGGTGCAAAAATATTGTAAAACGTTGCTATAAAGGTTTTAGAACTTTAATTTTTAAATATTTTAAGACCATATTTAAGACAGGTAGCATGTTCCTTTCATTTGAATTATAAATTTAAGCTTTAATTGACATTTTAGGAATCTAAAATATTCAGTTCAAATTATGATAAGAATAGCTATATTTTTAATATGAAAAGAGTTTTAAATTTCTTTTCTTTGTGCTTTCTTACAGGCATGGTGACTTTGTGGTTCAGGATCTATTTTTAAGATGAGCAAAATGCAGTTCAAAGCAGCTAAAAACTGCTATGGTGACTTCCATCCCCTCCAAAAGACTAACTTTATAAGATGTTATTAAAAGTTTCATTTTTTTTCAAAAAAGTTTACTGCTAAAGTTTGACTGCTGTCGATGTATGGAATAAAGCCAAACAAGATTAATAAGTCTGCAGGGAAATAGATATGAGTCTTTTTTTTTTTTTCAGAGTTGTGGAACTCACTAACATTGTTTCTTCAGAAAAATGTAGCATGCAATTTTTAAGTCAGGAATATTGGTGACAACATTCTTTGTACAATTCTACTCCTTCTTCATTAGTCTGCCATTCCTGCACCAGAAGAATGTGTCCTGGAATTGTAAACATGAACATGGAATAAATTGCACCACCATCTCATTACTGTCACAAACCGGAAATCTGGACATCACCCTTAACAGATTCCCTCTTCTCATTTTTAAGTTAATCATTGCATTTTTCTGAATCTCTCTATGAAATATCAGTCTCGTTTTTCCATTTTTCCCCATTCCTACTGCCAATACCATAGCTGAATCCACGCCCATTTCAGTTTCTGAACATCTGGGCTAGCTCAATCTCCAAAACATATTTTACTTAGCAGTTGGAGTGACATTGTTAAAAACACAAATGTAAATCAATTATCCCTACCCAGCTCCACCAAACATACACATAAAACTGTCAAAACCTTCAATGGTCATGAGCATTTCCAACTTGTTTAATTGTTTCTCTAATATCTTGTAGTTCTCCTTCATCATCTTCATTGCAATTGCAATTAATTTGGTATATGTTAGTAATTTTTTTAAGGGACAGGATTTTGCGATATTACCCAGGCTGGTTTTGAATTCCTGGCCTCAAGCAATAATCCCACCTCAGCCTCCAAAGTAGCTGGAACTACAGGTTCTTGCCACTACTCCCATTAATTATGTTAATGATGATTGTAATAAATCTCTTCTCAGTGCTGTAATTGTTAAGTCAGACCATCTGAATTCAAAAGCTATTTGTGCCCTTTATAAGTTTAATAAACTTGGGATGTGCTTGACTTCTCTAAAACTCAGTTTCTTCATCTGCAAAACAAGAACATAATCAGTCCTAATACATAAGTGATTGTTAACATTAAATAATGTGTTGGAAAAAGTCTTAAGTGTCTGATAAGTCTTTAGTAAATATTAGCTATCAATTATTTGACTATATAAGTTGTTTGAGGGCATTTTATCTCTTGTTCATACCAATGAACAAATAAGTGAATGACTTATTTATTAGAGCGCTAAGTTAACGAAAGTATTCAGTCACAAAGAACAGAATACACATTAGCTGATTTAAGCAGAAAGGATTTATTATAAGGTTGTAAATGGCTTGCAAAATCATTGGACAGGCAGACAAAATAGACCATCTACCCTTTTGAAAACTCCTAATGAAGCAAGAACATGGAATTTGGACTTGAAGGAAGTTTATGAATCTTTAATAATCAGAAATTGAGTCCCAAATAAGTAATTTACTTGCTCAACCAGCAAAAATATCAGAGCAATGAGTTGATCCAGGTCTGAGTCTAAAGCAAATAATTAAATAATTCAGACCTTGGCTTCTTCATCTCAAAAACAGCAAAATAATGCCTATTTCCTATTTTCTTGTTTTTGATTTTTTAAGAAAATATTAAAGGAGATTGTATGTAATATGTCTAATGACATGCTGTGGCAAATATCAGTAAAGAATTATAGTTGTCATTATTATTAACCTCATTGGTATTAACCTGGCTCTTTTCCATAGCCATCAACTGTATCAATTATACAAACCAATGTCCTTAAAAATAGTCACCAGGTGGCTTCCTTGAAAAGTGAAAATAATTTGAAAATGTTGAGGCAGTGATGTCATCTTTGAATTTAAAATCTGATTCAAGAACCATACTCTACTCTCAAAGTGATAAGTTGAGGAGAAAAGCAAAAGTTTAAAAAGTTAAATGGTTATCTTTAATAGGACACTGGTAATTGATTCCTTATTTACCCCAAAGTTTAAATAAGTAATAATTTGAATAGATCAGAGAGGAAATGAGTTAGAAGAAAAAACTGAACTGTGGCTGAAGCTAAATCCTGAAAGAGACTATCCACAAAATGGAGATTACCTCCAATACTAATGTACATTTATTTGAGGGCTTGACTTGCAGAAGGAAGAGTCTAGATAAGAAATTATCTCCTTTTTCTCTTAGATTTAGATAACCGAAACATAGAAAACTATTTAAGAGATACATAATATTCCCAAGCTATGTTCAATCAGGCTACTTACCAAAACAGTCTAACCCACACATACGTCTTTGAAAGTAGTTATACATCCATCTTGTGTATAAGTATTTATATATTAACATAAAATTCCACATTTCTAGTAGAATGTATTATATCTCAGAAAATAAATGTAGGGTCCCCATAGACCAGGAACTATTGCATCCCAGCTCCAGTCAATAGAGATTTAACAGAGTTTCTTGTTCACTTTCTATACTTAAGAACTTAAATATGTGGGTTTGCATGTTTATATCCTTATATATGGCATTTGATAATTATGGATTTGAAAACAAGTAATTCTTCCCAGTGGCCACTTGATCGGTAGTCTAGAGTAAACAAGCAAGAAAAATAAAGCAAGCAGAATAGCTCTTAAAGGTGCCAATTATTGTCATGGCACCAATGATGCTTTTAGAAAAATCCATCATTACTCCAGGTAATGACTGGAGAGTAAGACTACAGATGACTTTGGCTTTGGTCCAGAAAATTCAGGACATTAACTGAGGAATTGACCATTAATCCCAGGTAATGTAAAGGCCAGTTTTCATAGGATCATTGCTCAAGCAATCTTCTATTCAACGTAAGTGCAGGTCAGATTGCTAAATCTATAATTTTTGTAAAAAAAAAATTGGTGCATTTTTACAAATAACCTGACTTGGTGTCAGTTAATTCAATTTATTTTTCTTAATACAGAGTTGAATATCTCCCAGATGTATATCTGACATATAATTTACAATGTTTGGGTGATGTATTTTTAGCTATTTCTTGTAAATATCAATGCCTTATCTATCCACAACCTGAATTTATTATAAATTATGTCGAAACGATAATAGATGTGTTGTCAAGGTCATCAGGGGTCTTTAAAGAAAAATATAGATTTCTAATTTTTAGTAATATAAATTATCATAATCATGTGATAAATATTGTGCACTTAGAAGTGATCACTGGGAATTGAAATACTATGCTAATATATACAGTTATTTTCAAAGAATAAGGTGATTGGAAACAATTTAATAGTAAGAATAGAATATTGATATTCAAAAAAAAATTCATGGAAAGACTAAATGTCCAAATATAGGAGCTATTTTACTATATTTAGGGAAAGGAATAGTATTGAGTGATTGAAAATGATGCTGCAAGGAAAGCCTGATTGACTTTGGAAAATGTTTGCAATATATCATTAAGTGAAAAGTCAGTGCCAGAAGAATGTGCATAATATGAGTTATATAGGGAGAGATATAAAGAGTATGCATGGTATGTGAGAGGAGAGAGAAACAGAGAGAGGGAGTAATGAACAACATCTGGAAAAATTATACATCATGGTGTTCACATCTCACAGCGTTTATTTCTTGGGTAAATGTAAGAATTATGTGTTCTAGTTTGTTGTTTATTTTTGGTTTTATCTCTGTTTTCTCATTTCCTATATTGAGCATGCACTGCATTTAAAAAAAATAAAGACACAAACATATTTTAGTTTCAAAAAGATTGATATGCTTGATATTTTTCATCAATAATTAAGAAATATCACATTTCTGAGGGCACAAGACAAACTTACCCAAATGAATTTTTCTACCACTGACTAATGCAGCTACTTTGTCCTGGGTATCTGCCACTTAGTAGCAAATGTGTTAAAATGGTTTGGCTCTATGTCCCCACCCAAATCTCACCTCGAATTGTAATCCCCATAATCCCCACATGTTGAAGGAGGGACCAGGTGAGAAGGTGATTGCATCTTGGGGGCAGTTTCCCCTATGATGTTCCTGCGATAGTGAGTTCTCAAAAGATCTGAGGGTTTTATAAGGCAGTTATCCCTGCTCTTACTAGCTCTCTCTTTCCAGTCACCACGTGAAGAAGGTCTTTGTTTTCCCTTTGCCTTCCATCATGATTGTAAGTTTCCTGAGGCCTCCTCAGCCAGGCAGAACTGTGAGTCTTTTAAAATGTTTTTGTTTATAAATTACCCAGTCTCAGGCAGTTCTTTATAGCATTGTGAAAACAGACTAATCTGCATATTAATCATTAACTTGCAGCACAAGAAAGAAAAAAGCATTGAATGAGCAGCTGTTGCTGAGGATCCTTTTGTGTTGCCAAAACTGAGATGGCACACTGGTCAACTTTAGACCAGAGATGTAATACTACTATTTACACTAAACTGTCTCTGTTGTCTATGTAATACTATTATTACATAATAATACATTACTTTATAGTATTTCATTATATTATTACATAATACTATTATTAGATAGATAATAGAGGAAGTTTAGTGATATGTTTCATTAAACATATATAATGATATGTATAATTAAAATTGAAAATACAGAAATGGAAGACGCTTTCTCTGGAGAATGACCATATGCCATTAAAAATAAGAAGAATCACCTTTAGGTTAACTACTAAACACTAAGCAGTAAACAAATTGCTTATGGCTAAAATAATTAAATAATTATCCTAATGACACCAGCAGACAAGGAGTAGACAAAACTCGAAATCAGGAATCTCTAACTCTACCACTCTTACTCTTCTCATTCTTTTAGAATGAGGAAAAAGGTAAATGTCTTAGGGACATTCCTGCAAACTTTGATCTTTATGGACATTGCACAACAGATCCCATGTTATTCTCAATAAATAAAAAAGTATACCTTGACTACTATTTGAGCAAAACTTAGGAGTCTAAATACCCTACAATAAAAGTATAATAAATAGACATTCACGTAATGAGATATGTACATCATATACCCATTATGATTTTAAGATTTTGTAATGACAAATATTTCTTCTATTTTTATTAATAATAGTTAACATTTTTGAACACTAACCAGGTGGCTGGCGTGTAATTTAAGTTGGACCAATGTCCTGTGAGTTAGATCCTAATATTAGCCTATCTTGTGGATGAGCTTAGTAATGTATGCAAGTTCTCACAATTGGAAAATAGAATTTGAGGAGTAGAAAATCAATGGGATACAATATTGCCTATAAGGAATTATCATAGTTGCACTAAATATGCAGAATAAAGATTGAGATAAAAATATACAAATATAATTATAGTAGAAGCCCCTGGGTGGTGGGACTTAAGTATTATCACCATTTTCATTATTTTAAGTATTTTTTTACAATAAAAACGTATTATTTGGTTGAATTATAAAATAATTTTTATTTTTTGTAGGCTAGAAATGTTTGAATATTGCCATTTTTTGTATGGTTCAATCTGATTTTATGATAAAGGTTATTTTATTTAAAGTTCATATGTATCTAATCTCACTCACTGTTCTTTGTTATCTTGGAGGCATCAGGCATTAAAGAAAAATAAGTCTCGGAGGAAGTAGACGATGAGAAAGTAAGCTTTCCACACCAAATTACTATTACTTATTCTCTGTGAATATTACACAGTGCCTCATTAGTGCTCTATGCCACAGGCACTTAATCACTGTTACCCCTGACAGGGCTGAAAATGGCACTGTTGACTGTAGTAAACTCTCAACAACTATTTGTACAGTGAATGATCAACATCTTTTCAGGGCTAATTGCATCAAAAGGCTATAATATGGCATTTCTTAGTCCAGGCAGAATAATCCTAGGCATTCTCTTGAGCCAGTGTACTCTGAGATTCCTTGGGGGAATAATATAATTGGAAGATGAAAGAAACCAATGATGCTGCCTCTAATCCACTGATTCTGCCAATGTTGAATTACTCCCTCTGGCTCATAACCAACTGTACTGTCCAGTATTATTTCTATGCATAACTCAGACAGACAATATCCTGCTTTTAGTCTAACTACAACATTAATAAAGAGACTGAGCATCCAGACTTGCAATTAGTAAAGCAGTGAGTTAGAGTAAACCTTCAGAATGCTGTTTATTGTTATGCCTCATGGCATGCAATGATGAAATATATACATTTATTAGCATGAAAATTATAAGATGTTCTTTTAACTCTAGAATAAAGAGAAATGAGCAGTATGACTGGAATCCTCTGTAATGTTTTATACACATTACATGTATTAATATATGGAAAGTACTTCATCAATTTCTAGAACATAGTGTATATCTGAATTAACAGTAGTAACGGTATTATGTTTCTTCGAAAATATACACACCCATAGAGTAATCTGTTGATAATAGTTATTTTCATTTATTTATATAAGAACTTAAATAGTATGTAATCAGCTCCACAAAACTACTTTAACTCAAAGTCCCAACTCCTCTGTTCTTTAATAATTTTCCATCCATCTTTCAAAGGAAAAAGAATGATAAAGAGATGTATGCAAAACAGACACATGTAGCCAAAGGCAAGTCTAATACTTACACTGATTGTTCATCAGCAGCATGTCTGAATATAACACCAAAAGGTAATACTTTCCTTCATAACTGTATTCAGAGAATGAATACAACTTGCAGCAGCAACAATTTGTGAGCCAATTAAAACACTATCACATTTATGGTGGCAGCACACAAATTCAGAAATTGTCCTGAACTCTTAGTATCTTTTGGCCTAATTTTTTTGTTATTCTTCATCTCTCCTCTACTGTAAATACTTGGAAGTGGAATATGTATACTATTTGCTCTTTATTCTTTCTTCTAGATTATTTCTCTTTATCCTCTCTTGAAAACACTGGGCCCTTTGAACAGCGTGCCATACAGCTACACTGTCCACATATCTCTGTGGTAGCTGTTTCCATTTTCTCCCAGAGAAACCTCTTACTGGGTTCCCCATTGCTTCCATTCTGGAAACATTATGGCCATTTACCTGCATATAATGAGATACTTTAAAATGTATATTTGATGCTCCAAATCATTAGTGGTTTTCCACAACCTTTGGGGATAAAAAAGTAACAGACCGGCCGGGCCCGGTGGATCACATCTATAATCCCAGCACTTTGGGAGACCAAGGCGGGCGGATCACAAGGTCAGGAGATCGAGACCATCCTGGCTAACATGATGAAACCCCGTCTCCACCAAAAAAAAAAAAAAAAAAAAAAACACACAAAAATAGCCAGGTGTAGTGGCATGTGCCTGTAGTCCCAGCTACTCAGGAGGCTGAGGCAGGAGAATTGCTTGAACCCGGGAGACGGAGGTTGCAGTGAGCGGTGATCACGAGATCACACCACTGCACTCCAGCCTGGCGACAGAGCGAGACTCCGTATCGGGGGAAAAAAAAAAAGTGACAGACTTGACTCTCTTCCTTTTATCTCAAAAGCACTTCCTCTTATTGACTCCAAATCAACTATATTCTCCTTAAAGCTAGTTTCTGCTTCAGGACCTTTGCACTTGCTGTTAGCTGTGACTAGAATGTCCTGGCCTTTAAAGAGCACCTACTGGCCAAGACGGGCGGATCACGAGGTCAGGAGATACAGACCATCCTGGCTAACACGGTGAAACCCCGTCTCTACTAAAAATACAAAAAATTAGCCGGCCTGGTGGCGTGTGCCTGTAGTCTCAGCTACTCGGGAGGCTGAGGCAGGAGAATGGCATGAACCCAGGAGGCGGAGCTTACAGTGAGCCGAGATTGCACCACTGCACTCCAGCCTGGACAACACAGCGAGACTCTGTCTCAAAAAATAAAAAAATAATAAAAATAAAAGCACCTACTGAGAGAACTCTTCTTTAATGATCCTGTGTGAATAGCTATCTATTAACCCCATATAATATTTTATGTTTCTTCATAATACTCACTGTTCTTATCACTATTTAGTGTATATTATATACTTTTCTTTCTTATCTTTATGTTTTTCACATTAAAATGTAAGCCCTATACAAGATCAAAGCATTTATCTTTCTTGTCAATGGGTCCATCTCTCTTACCTAGAATGGTGACTAGCACATAACAGATGCTCATCAATATTTATTGAATAGATAATTTTTTAAACTAGGTGAAAAAAATCACAGAGCTTGTTACAGATGATCCCTATTTCATTCTGTCTAAAAAGGTAGAGCTTAAAGACAGAGTTTCATGACTTTAAAATACATCTCTGACTTTTCTTTGGTATTTTCATCTGAGTGCATTAAAAAAATTTAGATTTTCTATGTCAATTAAGAGCAGGAAAATGGGGAGATGTATTAGTCTGTTTTCACACTGCTATGAAAATACTATCTGAGACTGGGTAATTTATCAACAAAAGAGGTTTAATTGACTCACAGTTCTGCATAGCTGGGAAGGCCTTAGGAAACTTACAATCCTGGAGGAAGGTGAAGGGGAAGCAGGCACCTTCCTCACATGGAGGCTGGAGAGAGAGAGAGCGCACAACGAGCAAGTGCCTCACTTTTAAACCATCAGATCTTGTGAGAACTCACTCAGTATGACAAGAACAGCATGGGGGAAAATCCACCCCCATAATCCAATCACCTCCCACCAAGTCCCTCCCTCAAGACATCGGGATTACAATTCTAGATAAGATTTGGGTGGGGACACAGAGTCAAACTGTATTAGGAGGGGTACTTAATACCTACCTTTTGTGTCTTATAAAGGATAATTTCATAGAGCAGAAAAAACATGTAAGTCTCTTTCACCAGAACTCTTCTCCATGGGAAGAAAGGTAACTTATGATTGGAAGAGGAAACATGGAACCCATGGTTCAGTGCACTTTGACAATATTCATTTGGACCTGCCTTTTTCTGAGTGTTCTTTTATGATTTTCTTTCCTACAGAGGCATAGCCTCTTTCTAACCCTGGGATAGAAGTGGGAGTTGGAGTGGAAGGTTAAGAAGGAATATATAATCATATCTGTAACCAAGTAATTAAGTCTCTTTAATTCAGGAATTTGGGTTTTACATTAGAAAGTCAGGTTTTCACTGCAGGTGAAGACATATTCTCCAAATGAGCTTTATTAGTGATAACGGTGGTGTTTTGATTTCCATCTGTCTGACTCATGTGTGAGTTTTTAATTGATTCAAACCTCAAGGTGAGGAGTGGTCAACAATTAATTTTTGCGCCTAAAACCCAAACACACATATGTTAACTCCCGCTGTGCTAGAGTATTTCCTCCTGTAAGCATAGTTATTCACTCAACACTGAATGAGAGCCTACTAAGTTTAGTAGTATTAAGTATTATAGATAAATATTATGGAAATAATAGATATAGTATTAAGTAGTATGGACAAAAAAATAAGATATAGTATTAACCTGATGGAATTCATGTTCTAGAGGTCAATGAAATGAACTCTAACTCTAATCGACATTATAATATATATAGGGGCACACTCATTTGAATATATTTACAAAGCACAGAATTACATTTTTTCATAAATTAGATTATTAACATTCTTTTGCATTTTGTGGTTCTTCACCTTATTATCCCAGGCCATGCAGGTCAAGGATAATAATGTGATTCAAACACCATTAAACTTTAATATTACCCTTTCTTTTGTAAGGGAAAAAAATACACCACCAATTAATAAGCATGAAGTAATTCAGAAGCAGACACAAAGATCACTTCAGAGCCATCAATCCCATCAGAGAAGCCAGGAGACCAGTCATCAGTCAGACTTTAATCAGCAGCAATGGATGGAATAAAAATGAACAGCATTCTGGGGATAATTGTTGAGATTATATGCTTTCTCCTGAGATCATTCATCTCATTGGCAGCAATTGAGTTGGTGCTTCTTTGTGTTTATAGTAAACATATTTTTAAGAATAAAAAAGGAGATAGGGAGTAAGAAAGGGAAACAGAAGATAAAGGAGGGAGAAAGAAGAGAGGCCAGGAGGAAGTGTCCTGTTTGCTGCCCTGAAATATACAATGTGAATGCAAACGGCAAAGATGGAGGGACTTGGACTGAGTGTTAGAAAGAGGTTGTAGCATCCTATAAGGTAAAGCTTTGTAAGTCCTAGTAAAAGATTTTGACTCCATCCAAAGAGCAAAGAAGAGCCACTGAAAGATTTTATCTACAGGACTGTTGTACTCCCACTAGTGTGAGTAAAGGTCACCTTGGCTGCAGCAAAAAGAATACATTTGAACTTGATTACAGTTTCCAGGTTAGTTTTATTCTGATATCTTACGTGGTCCTCAAAGGTATGAAGAAGGGATGATAGGAAAAGTGGCTTAGAATCAAGGCAAGTCTCAAGTTCCTACCCACTGAAGCATATTGCTTCTTTTTCCTAAGAGATGGGGCAGGTTCTCATGTAGACAGGTTGCTGAACAGAACTTCAGGAAAGAGCCTTGAAGGCATAGGAAACCTGGAGGAGTCGTGATGCTCATGAATGTGCACTAGAAGTACAGTTGTGGCGTTTCTAACCCTACTACAATCAACATATCAAGAAATATGCAAGAATCCTGAAAAACAGTGGAAAAAGCCTAAGATGGTAAACTAGAAGGAGAATTTGGTTAGGGATTTTTTAGGAACTGTGTTGTTGATTGTCCTCTGGATGCCTAAATGCCAATCCAGTAGGCCCCAAGTACAAACTAAAGATTCCTATAGATGGATTAGATGAAAATGTTACCATGGTACTATTATGCCACTATTGACTAACATTAGACATTTGAACACCACCCTAGTACAAAGAATGTTCTTCTGTATGAGGTTTGAGGGGGCTCCCAAGATGAGAAATGTGAGTCATACCCAGAAGATCTCTAAAAATAATAGTGACCTATGGAGAAACCATTGAAGAACCTGAAATAACACCTAATGAAATATTTGAAATGAATTTATCAGAATTATTCATCTACCCTATTGTAAGATACTACCAGGACCAATTTTATCAGTCCCCTAAAGGAATAGTGTTTACTTCTCAAACATCAGAGATTTATATATTTATTATGGTACTTTTCTTGAGGATGGTAACAAAGTATCTTATTTTAACAACTTTCCCAAAGATGGCTTGAACAAAGGACTTATTTCCTAAATCACACCAAGACCACTGTACGTACCAGCAGCCATGGTCATGCCTCACATCCCTGTTCATATTGGTGGCTATCTGAAGTTTTAACACACCCCCATGCCCTGACAGGTTAGCATCCTTGTCCTGCTTTGTACCTCTCTAAACTAAACCAATATCTCATTGCTTTCCTCCGTCTGTGTCCCTATATTTCCATTAAAAAAAATTCCTTCCCTGTGATCAGCTCCTAGAGCTGGATTTCCCAATATGCCTGAAAGCAGAGAGACTCTGGAGGTGAAGAGTAAGCCAAATAACATGACTCACCCCTGGTTCAAAGTAGATACGGACACTAACATGGGGGGCTGCTCCTCTGCTTTCCTTACTTCCCCCAAACTCCAAGTCTCTAATCTGAGAAGATAGGCATATGATTATGGCCATGAAGGGATTTCAGGGTATAGAACTCATTGTCTTTAGGGTTCTAGAAAATCACTGCGGCCACACTGCTTGTAATATCTCTGACTGTTTCTCAATTCTTTCATTGGTCAGATATCTCATATCCCTCCAGTTTAGCTTCAATTTTTAAATTATTGTAATCTAAAATTATCTGATGTCTCTTTTATGTACAAAAGATTCATTAACCCCAAAATAACAGGAACCATAGCTCAGGTGACTGGCTTTCTGCAAAATCAGATTGCTTCCTAGAAAATTGTTAACTTATATCAAGATACTGAAATTCATTTCTAAAACACTAGGAGTAAACATTCCAGAATAAAATATTTCAGCGCTAAGTGTTTACAGCAAGTAAGCTTCTGTGATTCTAAAATAAAACTCATTTTAAATCTTTGCTTGTACCTTAGTGACCTAGGAAAGTAAATTTAATAAAAGACCTTGTATTGGCATAAACTGCTTAGGGAAAAACTTATAAATTGAATGAAACATACAAAGCTTTTCTTGATTGAAAAAGTAATTTTTTAACAACCTAACATCACAACTAAAAGAACTAGAAAAGCAAGAGAAAACCAACAAAAAAGTTAGCAGAAGACAGAAAATAACCAATATCAGAGCTGAACTGAAGGAAATTTAGATACCAAAAATTCAAAAGATCAATGAATGTAGGAGATGGTTTTCTGAAAAAAAATTGATAAGATAGAGACGCTGCTAGCTAGAATAATAAAGAAGAAAAGAGAGAAGATAAACACAATTAGTAATGATAAAGGGGACTTTACTACTCTGACTCCACAGAAATAGAAACAACAATCAGAGACTGTGATGAATACCTCTGTGTACACAAACTAGAAAACCTAGAAGAGATGGATGAATTCCTGGACATGTATACCCTCCCAAGACTGAACTAGTAAGAAATTGACTCCTGGAATAGGCCAATAATGAGCTCTGAAATTAAATCAATAAGAAATAGCCTACCATCCAAAAAAAGCCCAGGTCTCTAGACAGATTCAGAGCCAAATTCAACCAGATATACAAAGAATAGCTGATACCATTCCGACTGAAACTATTCCAAAAAACTGAGAAAAAGTAACTCCTCCCCAAGTCATTCTACGAGGCCAGCATCATCCTGATACCAAAACCTGGCAGAGACATAAAAAAAAAAAGAAAAAAAAAAACTTCAGACCAATATCCATGAACATAGATACAAAAATCCTCAACAAAATACTGGCAAATCAAATCCAGCAGCACATCAAAAAGCTAATCCACTATGATCAAGTAGGTTTTATCTCTGGGATGAAAGGTTGGTTCAACATACACAAATCAATAAATGTGATTTATCACATATACAGAAATATAGACAAAAACCACGTGATTATGTCAATAGAGGCAAAAAGGCTTTCAAGAATTTTAACATCATTTCATGTTACAAACTCTCTATAAACCAGATATTAAAGAAACATAACTCAAAATAATAAGAGCTATCTATGACAAACCCACAGTGAACATCACACTAAATAGGCAAAAGCTAGGAGCAGTTCTCTTGAATCAGCACAAGACAGAATGCCCTCTCTCACCAATTCTATTCTACATAGTATTGGAATTTCTGGCCAGAGCAGTCAGCCAAGATAAATAAATAAAGGGTATCCAAATAGGAAGAAAGGATGTCAAACTATCTCTCTTTGTAGATGACATAATTCTGTATCTGGAAAACCCCATAGTCTGAGTGCAAAAGCTTCTTCAGCTGATAAACAACTTGAGCAAAGTCTCGGGATACCCCCTCCCAAAAAAAAGTACAAAAATCACTAGTATTCCTATGCAACAACCATAGCCAAGCCAAGAGCCAAATCAGAAATGCAACCCCATTCACAATTGCTACAAAAAACAAAACAAAACAAAACAAAACAAAAATCCACCTAGGAATACAGTTAACCAGGAAAGTGAAAGAACTCTATAATGAGAAATTTTAAAACATTGCTCAAAGAAATCAGAGATGATGCAAACAAATGGAAAAATGTTTCATGCTCATGGAGAGGGAGAATCAGTATCATTAAAATAGCTGGCTGGGTGCGGTGGCTCACGACTGTAATTACAACACTTTGGGAGGCCCGAGGTGGGTGGATCCTGAGGTCAGGAGTTCAAGACCAGATTGGCCAATATAGTGAAACCCTGTCTCTACTAAAAATACAAAAAAGTAGCTGGGAGTGGTGGCAGGTGCCTGTAATCCCAGCTGCTCATGAGGCTGAGACAGAAGAATTGCTTGAACTCATGAGGTGGAGGTTTGCAGTGAGCTGAGATCGTGCCATTGCATTCCAGCCTGGGCAACAAGAAAGAAAGTCCATCTCAAAATAATAATAATAATAATAACAATAATAATAAAAATAGCCATACAGCCCAAAGCAACTTACATATTCAATGCTATTTCTATCAAACCAATGACATTCTTCACAGAACTAGAAGAAAACTATTTTAAAATTCACGTGGAACCAAAAAGGAGCATGAATAGCCAATGAAATCCTAAGCAAAAAGAACAAAGCTGGAGGTGTCATGCTATCCAACTTTAAACTACACTACAGGGCTGCAGTAACCAAAACAGCATGGTACTGGCACAAAAACAGACACATAAACAAATGGAACAGAATAGAGAGCCCAGAATTAAAGTTACACACCTACAACCATCTGATCTTTGACAAAGCTGACAGAAACAAGCAATGGAAAAAGGACTCCTTATTAAATAAATTGTGCTGAGATAGCTGTCTAGCCATATACAAAAGTCAACTCAAGATGGATTAAAGACTTAAATATAACACCTAAAACCATAAAAACCCTGGAAGACAACCTGGGCAACATCATTCTAGACAGAGGAACTGGCAAAGATTTCATGAGAAAGTGCCAAAAGCAATTGCAACAAAAGCAAAAATTGACAAATAGGATCTAATAAAACTTAAGAGCTTCTGCACAGCAAAATAAACTACCAACAGAGTAAATAGGCCACCTACAGAGTAGAAGAAAATATTCCTATCGCATCTGACAAAGGTCTAATATGTAGCAAAGTCCAGCATCTATAAGGAAGTTAAATTTACAAGAAAAAAAACCATTTAAAAGTGGACAAAGAATATGAGCAGATACTTCTCAAAAGGAGATATACATGTGGGCAACAAGCGTATGAAAAAAAGCTCAGTATCACTGATCATCAGAGAAAGGCAATCGAAACCACAATGAGATACCAGCTCACACCAGGGAGAATGGCTGTTATTAAAAAGTCAACAAATAACAGATGGTGGTGAGGTTGCAGAGAAAAGGGAATGCTTATACACTGTTGGTGGGAGTGCAAATTTGTTCAACCATTGTGGTAAGCAATGTGGTGATTCCTCAAAGAGGTAAAAACAGAACTACTATTCCACCCAGCGATCCCATTACTGGGTATATACCCAAAGGAATATAAATCCTTTTACCATGAAGACACATGCACACATATGTTCACTGCAGCACTATTCACAGAAGCAAATACATGGAATCAACCTAAATGTCCATTAGTGGTAGACTGGAAAAGAAAATGTGGTACATATACATCACAGCCATAAAAAAAGAGAGCATTACCTTTGCAGGAACGTGGATGAAACTGGAGGCCATCATACTCAGCAAACTAACACAGAAACAGAAAAACAAATAGTTCATTTTCTCACTTGTAAGTGGGAGCCAAATGATAAGAACACAATGACACAAAGAGGAAAGCAACAGGCACTGGGGCCTACTTGAGGGTAAAGAGTAGGAGAAGAAAGAAGAACAGAAAAAAATAACTATTGAATACTAGGCTCAGTTACTTGGTGATGAAATAATCTGTACAACAAACCCCCGTGACATGAGTTTTCCTATATAACAAACCCGTACATGTACCCCTGAACCTAAAATAAAAGTTAAAAAAAAGTAATTTTAATATTACTCTGCACACTTGCTTATGGAATGAAGAAGAAACTTAACGTTATCGTCATTAAAGCTGAGTCTAAAAATGCTTGAATAAAAAATGTTTATTCCACTTATTGCATTTTACCTTTCATGGGTAATACCAATTGATTCATCAGTATAACCTGCATTTCTAGTCAATTACACTCTCTAGTACTCTTGTCTGGTGGCTTAATTTACACAGATAAATAATTTTTTGAAAGAAAAAGATTAAGTAGTTTCCACTGAGGTGTGTTTTCCAAAATTATTAAGAAGTAACAAATTATTGATGTCATCCATGAATTCGTATTGAAGTATATTCTCTCCAATAAAAACCACAGGACCTTCTGGCTAAAATATTACTTTCATACTTATAGAAAAATCATCACGTAAACCATGAGAAAGTAGAGCTATCTACTTTGGATTTTTGAGAAGTGGTTGCTTTGGTTGCTGTAATAGTAAATGATCTCTGAAATAAGCTACTATATTTGGGTTATTCAACTCATTTCTCTCTTCCTCTCACATTTTTAGATTGCATACATTTCTGACCAAAGGGCAGAGGAAGTGCGCTCACTGGATTTAAACAACGCTGTGCTCATTTCCAAAATCCCAAATATGGCATGTGAGATAATAGTTCTGCCACATAAGTTAAGGCATAGGAACAAAGAATGCTAATGTACATAAATCTCTATGCTTGATGTGTAAAGCTTGAATAATAATACTTTTTTAAGTATGTGAAAATGAAGGTGCTGATGACTTGCCAAATATAACTGGAAATCTGCAGAATTATATTCAATAACTGAATGTCAATTCAAAAGGAAACCATCTCTATCAAAGGTAAAATAAAAAAGAAAAGAAGATATACTATTCTAACATAATAATGTTTATTTTTTAAAAAAAGCATTATTATAAATATGTATACTCTACCATCTGATCTGAATTACAAATTCTGTGACAACATGGCCTGTTCCTTATATTTATTTTCTTTTTGTTTATTATATGGCCTGTCACACAGCAATTGATAAGTAAAATATTATTTTTCCTAATATTGGTAATGATATCTTAATTCAGAAGATAGCTTAAAAAAATTAGCACTAACCTCATCTTTGAAAATGTGGAAATTGTTGTTCAGAGTAGTTCCATACTTTGTCAAGGTCAAATACTAATGCATCACAGATAGGGACTGAAATTAGCATTTCCCCTCAATCAATCCAGTGCTCTTTCTAATGCAGCCTACCAAATCTCATCAGCATATATGGATTGATATTATAATACACTGAGTAGTCATAATGTCATTCTTCATAATGTGTCTGTTGAAGAATATTACATCTTCAACAAACATATTCTGAGGCTGTGCAACATACCAACTGGTATAGACATAGAAATGAGTACGACAGACTTTCCTCACTAAAGAGGTTTATAGTCTGGGAAAGATGATAAGTGCATAAACAGTGGCTTTCCATTGCCCAAGGGATAGGCAATGCTCCTTAAAACAGCAAAAAATGCCAGCATAATATTTAAAAGGAAGAGCAAAGTTGTAGGACTTACACTTCTCAGTTTTAAAATGTATTACAAAGCTATAGGAATCAAGAGAGTATGGTGTTTGCATAAGAATAGACATAGATCCATGGCAAAAAATTAAGAACTCAGAAATGAATCTTAACATTTATGGTCAACTGATTTTTGAGAAAGGTGCTAAGGCAATTTAATAGTGAAAGGATAGCAACTACCACAAACTGTGCTGGTACAATTCAATATGCATATTCCGATGATGAAGGTAGACCCCTACTTCAAACTATATATAAACATTAAATCAGAATGGATGATAGAACTAAGCATATTACAAGAAAATATAGGATCAAATCTTTGTTCCTTTGAGTTAGGCAAATATTTCTTAGATACAACACATGAGCACATAAAATATGAGAAAAACTGGATAAATTGGGTATTATCACGATTAATAACTTTTGCTTCTCAAAAGATATAGTTAAGAAAATGAAAGGTTGGCAACAGGAGAAAATATATACAAACTTATATCCAATAAGATACTTTTATCCAAAAACGTAAATAACCATTACAACTCAATAAGAAGTCAACTAAAGTCAAATAAAGAAGCCAATTAAAAATGAGCAACAGATTTGAATATGTATTTCACCAAAGAATAAATACAAATGGTCAGTAAGAACATAACCATATTCTCAATATCACTACAGTATCAAGGAATGCTAATTAAAATTATAATAAGGTTCAAAATTTATACCTACTAAGAAGGCTATAATGGAAAAGAGAGATAATAACTAGTGTTTTCGAGAATGTGGATAAATTGAAACCCTTTTATACTGCAGGTGGGAAAATGAGATCGTACAATCACATTGGCAAACAGTTCATCAGTTTCTTAAAATGCTAAATGTGGAGTGAACATATGACCCAGCAGTTCTGCTCCTAGGTGTTTACTTGAAAGAAATGAAAACATGTCCACACAAAGACTTGTATATAAATGTTCGTGGCAACAGTATTTATAATAGCTAAAAAGTGAAAACAATAAAAATATAGATAAACTGTTGAACATATGAAAATATTATGTATCCATACAACAGAATAATATTTGTCAGGAATAAAGTACTGATTTCTGTTATGAAATCAATATATCTCAAAAACATGCTATGTGTAAAAAGGTCATAAATTATATAATTTCATTTACACAAAATGTCCAGAAATGGAGAATCTGTAAAGACAGAAAATAGACTATTGGTTGCCTAGAGCTGGAGATGGGGATTGGCAGTGACTGCAAATGGGTAAAAGGTTCCTATTTGTTGTTAAGAAATGTTAAAAAAAAATTTGGCGATGGACATATCACTGTAAATTTACTAAAAATCATTGAACCACACATTTAAAATAAATGGGTTTATTGTATGTAAATTATATTGCAATAAAATTATTAAGAAATAGAATTAAGCACCCTACATTATCTGATCTTCATTGCCCCAACTTATTCTTAATTTTCCCCCATATATTGGTTTTGGTTTTCTACACACCGTGGTCCCTTTTGACTTCAGTCTTGATGATCAGCTTGCTTGGAAAATATTTCCCATAAATCTTTCCTTGAAAAACTTCTATGCATTATTCTGAATGCAGTCTAAGCATCATCCCATCCAAAAAAATTCTACTGCACATCAAAGTCATGCCCTGCTTCGAAGTTCCAATTGCATCTTATATATACATCACTACGCACATAATCTATTATATTAATATATCTGTTTATCTTCTGGTCTGCTCTTTAGTCTATAAGCTCTCCAAGAGCAAAGTAGTTCATCTCATTAATTTTTGTGTCTCTCCTCAGTGATTAGCACAGGTAGTTTTTCAAGAAATATTTATTGAATTAAAATCTATACAATAAGATGTGCTAAGTCAAAGAAAGGCAATAGGAACTAGATATGGTGAAGGCACAGATAATCAAGAGCTTTATTTGTCATGATGAAGAAAGGAGAAACAAGTGCTATCCAGGTAAATGCAGTGGCATCAGACTGAGAAGCAACTACAACTTCGATGTACAATTGGAGAGATTGTGTTGGAAATTTACAGAGAACCAGCTTCCCAGTGGAAAGAGACTTCTGCAGAAGTAGTTCATCCAACATCAAACAATAATACAGAGGACTGTATAAAGGAAGGGAATGCACATATGATATGCATTTTATTATAACAAAATAATAAAGGACTTTTCTAAACATGATATAACAATAATACCAAGATATTTCTCTCTCTTTTTATCAAGTACTGAATAAAAGAATCATTACAGTCTCTTGCCTTTTTTGTACCTACTCAGGTGTAATGTGTCATTTCATCCTTTTTTTCTTGATCCATTCAATCAAAAAACACATTTAGCCCAAAGTTATCATCTTAACTGCATGGAAACAGGAATGGAGAGGTTAAGTTTCTTATTCAATGTACTGTAATAAGTCAGTGACAGAACTAAGTATCAACTTAGGTCCCTGAGTTCTTAGTACAGGACTTTCTCTCCTTTTTTTATAATACTTTACCTTTATTATATTCTTTCCATGACTTGTATTATCTGTCTGCGCATTTGTGTGTGTGTGTGTGTGTAGAAAAGTGGAGATGAGAAATGGGGTATAGCAGAGGCAGCAATGCAGCAAGTAAAGTTGTGATGGTTAACTATGCTAATAGCTAGATGTATTATTTAGTGTCTATTTGACATGAGGCACTGTGCTAAGCATTTTACATGCATTGTCTACTTTGATCATCAAACCCTTCTAAGAATTTATCTATGAAAAAAAAAAAACTCAGAAGCTTATGAATGTGGAAAAATTACTCACTGTCACCTAACAAGTAACAGGTAATATCCAGGACTATGTAATTCATAAGTCTATGTTGTCACATACCGTATCACACCAAAACCCATTCATTACGTAGGGCATACTGCTTATGCTTTCAGTAGTTATTTGGCTCATGAGCTTCCTTTTTCATCATCTTTCTCATATTTCTGAAGTGTAAATATTTGATACATCAGAGAATAGTACGGGTTGAGTATCCTTACAGTACAGAGTGAGTACCCTTATCCAAAATGGTTGGCGGGGTACAGCAACTCATTTTGGGAGGTGAAGGTGGGAGGATCACTTGAGCCCAGGAGATTGAGAACAGCCTGAGCAAGATGGCGAGACCCTACTTCTACAAAAAAATTAAAGGAAAAATAGACATGGTGGTGTTCTGTAGTCCCAGCTACTTGGGAGGGTGGGGCAGGAGGATCCCTTGAGTCTAGGAGTTTGAGAATGCAGTGAGCTGTGATTGCACCATGTACTCTAGCTTGGGTGAGAGAGTGAAACCTCATCTTTAAAAAAAAAATTAAATACTTGAGACCAGAAGCGTTTTAGGTTTTGATTTTTTTTTTTTTTTTTGAATTTTGGAATGTGTGCATGATACTTACCAGTTGAGCATCCCCAAATTCAAAAACCCAAAATTCAAAATGCTCCAATGAGCATTTCCTTTGAGTGCCATGTTGGTACTCAAAAAAGTTTTAAATTCTGGAGCATTTGGATTTTAGATGTTCTGATTTGTGATGTTCAGCCTATATTAATAAACACCTTCTAATGCAGTTACTTAATTGGCAGCTTATGATACAAACATTTGAAGAGTTTTGCTATTGATCTTTTTATTAAACAACTGTAAAACAATACTGTATTAGAGATACATGTAGATATCGATCTAAAACATGATAAAACATGTAGCTATAATAATATATCCTGAAATATAATTTTTCATAGCAAGTGAAATATCTCTCATTTATGGCCTTTAAGGAGTATTTATGTTTTATTTCTAAAATAGAAACAAAGAATAAAAATAAAAATGAAGCAGAAACAAGAAAGAGAATAACAAAATATATCAAACCAATTAATTTGAAGATTATTTAAATGAGAAGATTTTATTATGTCACTAAGAAACATAAGTTTACATTTATGAGATGAAAAATAAAAAAGTGACTGGGTGTGGTGGCTCACAACTGTAATCCCAGCACTTTGATAGGCCGAAGCAGGCAGATCACCTGAGGTCAGGAGTTTGAGACCAGCCTGGCCAACATGGCGAAGCCCCACATCTATTGAAAATACAAAAATTAGCCATGTGTGTTGATGGCACCTGTATTCCCAGCTACTCAGAAGGCTGAGGCAGGAGAATCACTTGAAAATGGGAGGCGGAGTTTGCTGTGAGCCGAGATTGCACCATTGCACTCCAGCCTGGGTGATAGAGCGAGAGTCCATCTCAAAGAAAAGAAAAGAGAAGAGAAGGGAGAGGGGAGAGGGGAGAGGGGAGAGGGGAGAGGGGAGAGTAGAGAGGAGAGAGGAGAGTGCTCTCTAAACCAACTAAGAATGCAAACATAATTTCAGGGCAAATGCTCAACATAACATGTTAATAAAACACTTCCTGATAAGCACTAAAGGGCTGGTTACAAGTGATTCTTATCAAGTAGAACAAATATTGTATCATTATATTATGTTCTAATTCCCCTAGTCTTTTTCCCCTTCCCCTACCCTTAGCCTTTAAGCTATGTAATAACCATCAGAGCATACATGCAGGCAGATGTCCACACGCCCATTTTCACTTGTCATGTAGTATCTGCAGTACTTGCTTAATCTTTTCTTTATATAATCCATTCTCTCATTTAGAGCCTTACCACGATTTGTGCTTAAGATAAGGTTAGTAATACATTTTAATTTACAAACTAAGCTTCCCTACTTGATTATAATTCAAATTCTGTCTTTAAGATATATTAACTCACATAAAGGGAGAGAGGCACTTATTTTTGTTCATTCTTCCCCAAAGAGTCTATATTTTGTGGAACTTCAACCAAACCTATAACTACTCTTTAAGAAAGGCCCAGATCGCAAATTCATTAGGATATCTACTTGTCAAATATATTATTTCCATTAATTTGTATATTGTATGAAGCTGAAGGTAATAAAAAATGTCATCTTGATGAAACCAATAGTATTTTGCTAATTCTGAAAGCTTCACATTTTGTTTAAATTATCGACCCTTGACAAATAGTCCCCATTCTAAAAGATTCTAATTATTTCCACTGGAAACATATATTTTAGAAGTGAAGTAAACCTTTCTTGTATGCTATGATGACTGAAATTATTATCTTGACTGACTTTGATAAAAATTAACAACCTACCAAGAATTAGAAAATGTATTTGTTTGATGTCTAATATTAATTGCATGAAGAGTTGCTAGGCAAAATAGCACATCCACGTTCATTCCCACAGTTGCAAATTCAGAGCACATTGGTGAGCATTATAAACAGGAGCTGGGTCTCAAAGTCCTTTTTTGATATTATTTTTTGATGTGACATTTTCCATTCTATATAGATAATTGTATTAGTTTCTGATAATATAAATTACTTAATGTTTTTAACTGATCTAACTGATATATTTCCTTGTGTTTTCTCTCCTATCTTCATCCCTTTATCCCTTTCCAATCCCAGAAAAAAATAAAGTTCTTCCAGTCATTTAGTTACCCTGTACTTTTCTACTATATAATTGGAGAAAATTGATTATGTTAGGAAAGGTGAGATTGAGATTCAGAGTGGAAAATAATTACTGACGGATTTCAATTGCTAAAAGACAGCTCTCATGCCTTCACTGTTTGTCTTTTAAAGCAACCCTATAAAATCACAAATCAAGCAGTTGATATAATTATGAATTTGAAGAAATTGTCATGATGGAGATGGTTTAGATATACTGTTATAGAAAGACAATAAAGGCTTTATTTAGAATCAGAAACAAAGCCAGATATAAAACTAGAAGAAAACTTACATTGCTTTGGCCCCAGAGCCCTCAAGGGCTTTGAGCTAAGATTCAATGAAATGACAACCTTTTAATTTTGGAAAGTCTCCTTCTTTACCGTCTCTAAATATCTTTTATGTTTTCTCTTTTGCTGATAATTAAAAACAATATCTAAAAAGTGCGTAACGGAACTAGAAGATAATTTATTAATCATCTAGTTTTACATTTACATTTTACAGATTCTAAAAATGAGTCCAAGGAATTTTGTGAAAGGAATCAGACAGCTCATCAAACCCATCCTACAACACCATTTCTTCCCATTGAAATTCTTCTTCTAGACCTAACTCAAAGTAACCCTTTGATTAATCTCTTTAAGAGCATCAAGGGAAGGAAGGGAATACTTTCCTCAACTTTAAGGTGTTTGGGTTTTTTTGTCTTGTAGTATTGCTTTTTCTTCGAGATCATTTCTTGAGACAATGGTCTTTATAATTTTTCCTCTACAACAGCGTGTACCAAAGACAAAATGCAACACCAACCTCTTTATGGGGAAATTCCTGGTTAATACCTCACAGTTTATCTTCCTGAGGTTTTTCCTCAACCCACTATTTTATTGCTCCATGGGAAGTCAGAAATATCTACAACTACTCTGCTTATCTATATTTAAGTGGATAGATTTGGAATTAGACTTTCTGGCTTCAATCCTGGCTCTAGTACACAACTGGGTGACTTACGGCTTATTCTTTAATCTCTATGATCCTCAGAATTCCCATCGATGATATAAAGACATAATATTATTTACTACATGTGGCTATTGAGATGATTTAATGACTTAATACAGAATGCAAAGTGCAAGCTTAATAATAGCTAATATTTACTTAAAACCAGCCATTTTCACTTTACATTAATCACATTTTTAATTCTCACTATAGATTTATATATTCTTATTGTTCCCATCTTAAAAATGAGTAAACTAAGACAAAGAGAATGTAAATAACTTATTCAACATCACTGAGATAATAAATATTAGAAATGACTTCTAAACTGTACTCCTAGATGTCAAGCTAAATGTTAAGTAGTGTTTACCATCGCAGGCATACATGAAGCAATTAAATTATTCCACATGTGGTGGTGAGTACCTTGTCTTCCACATGAATAATATTGTGCTGAAAACTTTTTATTGTTACGTTTTGCAAGTTTTATTAACCAATTTCAAAGATATATTTTCATAGGGTTGAAGGTCAATATTTCATCTCTTCTTGACTCTTCAGTCACGTGATATTAATACAAATATTGGGAAGGGTTCAATACTGAATACACAAAGTCACAACTGGGTGTTTTTTTAAGGAGCACTTTTTTCAAATTCAAATTCAGCATTTTTAAAGTATTTATTTGTTCTATTCCAGTGGTTCTAAGCTGTAAGCAAGCATCCGAGTAACCTGGAGATCTTGTTAACACATATATTAATGAAGTTCACCCCCAGAATTTCTGATTCAATATGTCTGAGTTGTAACCCAAGAATTTGCATTTCTAGGAAGTTCTCAGAGATGCAGATGCTGAAGGGCTGGAGACTACTTTGGAGAAGCACTGTGCTGGGCATTATACTCATAGATTGATGTTTTAACTCATGTAAGCCACTAATAGATGAGAAAGGCATTATTATTATCGGCATTCTATAAATGAAGAAATTAAAGGGTTGAGAATTTATGCCTTATCCAAAGTTGCACAATGAGTAAGAGACATTGTCACAATTTGAAAAGGGAAGCTGTTTCCAAAGCCCCTACATACTCTTTACAACTTCTTGATGCTGCCTCTTTGCAGCTGTAAGTAATGAAGCTCATCATTACCTGTCTCATAAAGTTGTTGTGAGAGCCCAGTGACATACAAAAGGCAGACACAGGCAGCAGTGTTCCTAGCCCAGGGACAGAATCAATCTTATTTTCTGTGAACATAGCTTTGAATTCATAACCACCGCTCTGTACTTCCACTTCCTGTAGATAAAGTATATTAAACTATTAAATCTCCTCCAGATTTTAATTTATTCTATGAAAATACAATTTGTTTTTCAGTATTTGGCAAAGACGAGGAAAAAAGGTGGTGATACAAATGCATGCCTTCATCTCAGTAGTTAAAATGGAGGCAAAGACATGAAAGTCCAGGGTCTCTATTTTTCTCCTTAGCACTTTGAAACATGAAATTACAGACAGGTTGCTCTGCTGTGGTTGGAACGTAGGAATTTGCAGTGGCCACAGAGCACCTGTGACACTGACAAAAACCTTAATTTAGAAGCACAAGTAAAAGTAACCTTTCCCTGTCTAGATTTTACATATCTGGTGGTGGTACCAACTAGCTCATCAATATCCTCATGGAGATTGTCCATCATGATTAACCTTATAGAAAAAAGTTCTGACTATCATAGATAATAGAAATATACCCAGATTCAGTATTTTCTATCAGAGATTAGAGAAAATATATTTTTTTTCATAGAAAGGTCTAGCAGAAGAGGTTAGGCAACAAGCAAGTTAAGAGATGACGAGTGAGAGAGGATGTAAAAAGTATTAGAAATACTTTGCTTATTATCTCTGTCTATATCCAATGACCCTTCAAAATGTAGCAGAAGTTCATCAGACAAGGTTAATTTGCTACATTAACAGTTTGGGAAGTAAATGAATCCAGGATGCCAACAGCCAGAAGCTGTCATGGTCCTGCCAACTCTTCAGCAAGCTAATGTATCAAGATGTCACCCCTACATCCAATGAGGTAAGTTCCTCACATCCTGACACTGATTGCTCAATGACAAAAACAAGTAAAACCTTTCTGGCCAGTTTCTAATCTCAGCATCTCCTGGAGAGCAGACACTTCGGCAGAAATTGGCATCTCCTTGACAGCCCAAGATAGGAAAGCTCAGAATTCAATGAACTAGGAGACTGTGTTCTTCCCCTGTCTTAGATGCTGTCTATTAGGTGGGCAAGGCAGCATGGGGTTGTTTGCAGGAAGGTTACAGATCTTTAATCTCTTTCTCTGTCAATCTTACTATATTCCAAATTGAATCAGGGGAGTTGAAGTAGTGGCTTTGAATCAAGGCAATGGGCATAGAATAAGCCCTCTTCTTGTTCCTTTAAAATTTTATAAACAAATGCACTTCTGTTTTTCTTGGAACTGATAGGTACCCCACTGTCATTTTATAATTTCAATCATGTACTCTCCTTTCTGACTTTTGCACACCTTCACATGTACATGTTGGAAAAGCATTTTATTCAAGGATTATACCTAAGAATTAATGCATAGGTACAGATTTATTTTTCAAATCTGAGTAAAAAGAGAGTCAGAGCACATTCATTATACTCAAGATCATGATTTTCCTCATTGAATGCTCTGATTTTCACTAATGTGGTAGAAAAACAAATGATGAAAACAACAAAAAACATATATGAGTAGGTGTGTGTGTGTGCACGTGTACATTTATTAATTTGTGTGTATGACTGTGCATGCAGGAATTAGCGTATATTGGGTTAAAGGATACAAACACAGAATTAAAAACTAAACAAGTACATTTTCTGAAGTCTTTATTTGTGTATAGGTTGAGACATATTATGATATTTTAAATTTTGCAAACAATATCTAACCATGCTAAACTTTCAGAATAAATGAATGTACATATTTGCTAAGACATAGAGAGGAAGGAGACATGGAGGTGATGCCACTTTATAAGTCAGTATTTTTTTTTCTAGGCTAGCAAAGGATTAACTTAAATTGATCCACCGCTCATCAGCCATAAACATGAGCAAAAATGTCAATTGCATGAGGGCACAGACCCACTGCAAAGCCCCCTAATAAATATGAATAAGATGATTTTACTTCTTTATTTTTCTCCTGCTGATGCTGTTGGGGAAGATGACAGCTTAATCATGTCTGCCCAGCACCGGGCTGTGAGTTTACATTAAGCAGCATGTGTTCTGTCATTACCACACAGTTTGGAGGGATAATGGCTTTGTCTAAACTATACCACAGGCAGAGACCAAATTTCTGAAAGTCACTCAGCAATTCACAAAAAATAAAATTTTCTGCATGTTTTAAAATGTGTTGGAGGTTTAAAGATGAAATGATTAGTTGCTAGAGGGTGAAGAAGATATAATAAAATCTTGTCCAGCAGACTGGGATACCTTGGCTGTACGCTTCTTCTCTACCAAGCAATCTGAGCCTCTTCCCCAAGCCTTTGGCCCACTGAAATCAGCACCAAGTTTTCTTGAGACTACTCTCCCTTTAATCATCTGTCCCATGCTGGATTCTGACCATTGCACTAAGATTTATACCTTATTGTTTCATGAGTTTTTTTTTTAACATTTCTGCATACATCCTTTCATGATTATCTGTTGGAAACACATAAAGTGGCAGAAAACAATCTCTTTAACAGAATAGAAGGTACATGCAATATCTCCAAAATACATAAATATTAGAAGCACCATGAGAACACAATATTTAAACATTAGATGAATCTAAATATAATCAGTGTTTAAAAGAGCCCATTTTCTATTAAGGCAATCAAACTGTTATTAAAGTTTATCAGTATAAAAATAGCTTCACAAACTGCTAATGTATATATGTCTTTTCTGAACTCTCGAAAATATAACAATTATTTATCAATATAGGACCTTATATTTGAGGATCAAAAAATTGTAATGAACGAAATGAAAACTTTCAGTTTTCAGTATTACATTGTGACAGCACTGGAATACTATAAAATCAACTATTTCCAAGAAAATTTTCAATGGCTTTAAATCTTTTTTTAAAAATCTGTTATTTATTATTTATTTACTACAACAACAACAAAAACAAGTAAATTCTAGAATTCCAGACAGCTGATGCTATGAAGCAAACAAGAATTCCCTGGAAAGAGAACAAAACCTTCCCTCTTATGTATATGCCAGCCTATTAGTATATAGCTACCTTACTTGATATATAACTAATCTAAGATTTGTTTCAAAGGATGTCCTGAAGACTTCAGTTGGTTCAAGTGTATACCTGCTCAATCTCAAAAGACATTATCATTTGGGTTAAAAATTTTTAGAAACAAATAGCAATTTAAGTAAAATTTAATAGCACTTTCCCCCAAAAAATCAGTAAACATTTCATCCTCATAATCTCCCTTTTTTACACATCTCTAAATTTTAAAAATAAGTACAATCAAACAATATTAATTCACTGAAGCTGATTCAATAAGAATGTTTTTGCATAGTTTATGACAAGGATATAATACAGTACTATAGCACATGACTAAGGAGTATTGAACAAGCTCATACATTTAAAACTTAGTTCAGCTACGTAACTGAAAATCAAAGAAAGTAGTAAATGATTCAAGGTAATCTATAATTCCACTGAATCAGAAATGATATAAAAAGTTGTAATAGCTTAGTAAATAAGTTTTTCAAAAGTTCAAAAGTAATTTTAGAGAAGTATTTGTGGATGAAATTATGCCTGGAATTTGCTTTAAGAATAACACAGTGGAGGAGGAGTAGATGAGGGCCGGGATAAAACAGGACTGGCCATTTTTTCATAACTGTTGAAGGCAGGTTACATGTTTATAGGAGTTTATTATAGTATTTTCTCTCTGATATATGCTTGAAAATTTTTATAATAAAAAGTTATAAACATTAAAAATGTTTTAAATCTTATTTCTCTAAAGCTAAGTAACTTTTTCAGAAAGACTTAAAGAACAAACTGTAACTACATTACTAAAACTTTCAGAGCTAAAGGAAAAGCAGGACCTTCTTTTGATATGTTAATTAACAAATTCTTGAGGTTTAGTCATAAAATTTGAATTTTAAGAAAAGAACAAATGACTTGCTAAGTAGCTATTACTACAGTCAACTCTTAATTAATTTCACTGACTAGATCACTGTTCCCTATATCCCCCCATCTTTTTTTTTCTTTTTTTTTTAGCCCATAGACATTCTAGTGATTTTGCTCCTTATTTAGCAGTAAAATGGAGTCAACCAAAACAAAAATACTGTCAAAAATTATTTTTGCTATTCATTCTTTTCTGCTAAAACACACATTGAAGAAGGAAGGCAATATAAATAAGCCTTAAAAACCTGAGGTTTTAATTGTGTTCATTTGCGATGGGAAAAAATAATAGTGTACCCAGTTTAAACACTTGTGAGTTTCAGATTTCAATAAAATTTATATTAATATTCTGCCTCTAATTCATGAAATACCTCAATGTTTTAGGCCCAATAGCTGAGATCCACTTTGACGCTCATTTCTAAGTTCTCTAAAGGTAATCAGGATCTCCCCGGATTGTGCACTAACATTGTCCTTGTCAGTCTCCCGCAACTGGTAACCAGAGCTATGTTCCTGAATCACAATCTCATTATTGCAGCCTTGTTTCATTTTATCCAAGGCATTACTGATGCTATTTGCCTGCCTCCTAGCTAGCAAGGTTTTTGGTTCTTAGAAGTTTGGTCTGACCCCTTTTATGATTATCCTGTTCCAAAGGTGAGTCCAGCTCCTCTGTGACTCTTCTAGCCTTCCCCTTTCCACCATGAGAGCTAGCCCAGCAATGTTCAAATATGTGACAGTATTAATTAACCTGTATTACTTTTCATGTCTTTAAGCTACCATTTATTTAGCATGTACTCTGCTTCTAGTCACTGTGTTAAATATAAATGGATATGTATATGAATATGTATCATCAAGAGTAAAAACCAGCACAGAGCATTTAAGACTACAAGCTTTGGTTTCAAAGAAACATAATCCAAGTCCCAGCTCCACCATATGCATCCTATGTGACTTTGGATAAGCTATGAAGCCTCAGGTTTTTCAGCTATAAAATTGAATCATAAAATACCTAGCTCATAGGTTGCAGGAGAATTTAGTTAATATATATATAGCATTTAACAAAGCCCAATTACATAGTAAACAGCTGAAGTTTATATCTATATTTAATCAAATAACAATGTATTAGTCTATTTTAAATGAATGATCTGTGATGATTGGCTGATCCTAGAACAGAGAAAGAGCAATTGAAGGTAGTATTGTTGCAGGAAGGCTGGTGGAAAGAGCAAAATACAGTAACAGTAATAATAATAACCAATATTATTGAGGATTTACTAAGTTTCCAAAACAATAGTATTTACTACGGTCATTTTGGAGAAAGAGTAAAATGGGAAGGGAGTGGAAGGACTGAGATGTTAGACAAAGTGAGTTGCTAAAACCAATGAAAATGACTCTTAAAACCCTCCATTAATTTGATGCTATCCTGATGATATTTTAATGTATCATTTACTAACTCTACCCCCAGGAATTTATCCTGATAATTTTGATTAAGTTATTGACATTATTCAGCAGAAATTAACAAAAGCTATAAGTACAATAAAGTTCACTGCAATGTTAATTGCAACAGAAATATTTAATATTGTAAAGTGTGCATAAATTTTTATCCCACACACCCTCACCACCTCACCATAGGCCATGCCCTTTGCAATGTGACTGCAGCTCTCACATCAAGAAATGAAACGTACTTCCACACTTCTTGAACCTGGACTGGCATCAGGCTTTGCTTTGGCCAGTAGAATGTCTAACAGTTTGTACTAGGAACACTGGAACACTGGCAGCCCAGTGTTAGCCTGCTGGAGAATGAAAAACTTGCGGCCCAGGGACTCCCGTTACTTTAGCTGAAAACAAGCCAACTCCCCAAAGCAAAGTCATCTACCCTACCTGCAGTTGACTGCTGACAGGTGAAAGAGCCCTGCTGAGAACAGAACTACCCAGCTGAGCTCAGCTCAAATTGCTGACTGCAGCACTGAGAACTAAATAAATTGCTCTGTTTGTAGCCACTTGCCAAATCCACTTTTAGAGTGGTTTACTGATACAAATTTTAAAAAACATAACAAAATATTAAGTATCAACATAACAAAATACTAGACAAGCTTTCAAATATCAGTGATAATGGCTAACTAATTTTATGATATAATATTACGTGAAAATAGCTTAATACAAATGTCATTCTGTAAACTATGATAGCAACTATGCAATTTTATTTATGTATGTATGTAAAAAGTGCATGTGGAAAAGAGCATTGTTTTGTAAGAGTGGTGGAATTAAGCATTGATGTCATCATTATTTTTACACTTCATTTAATGGGATATTGCATTTTCTAAGGAAAATATTTGATAGAATAAAAAGTCTAAGTCATTCTCAGGTTGTAGGATATCGTGTTGTGACATTATTAAATCAGTAAAAAGCATAAACCTGGTCTTTTGCCCCTACCCTCCAATATTATAATTGAAAAAATGAACAAAATGGTGCAATAGGACCATTTCAAAAATGAGAAGAAATTTCATTATTAATTAGTATTTCAAGCAAAATTCGCATTAGCTTATTTTACACTTATGAGCAGAGTGCAAGAATTTAAAACTAAAATGGAGATTTAAATATTCCATGCACCATAAAACCTATTTAAATAGTGAAAGATATTGATAACAGCTAAACTCTTCTGTGGTAAAGGTGAACATTTAAATGTTAAAGGTGACTGACCTAAGATAAGGAAGAAAGTTTAGGTAATAATTCTAAAAATTACTACCCCTTCAATGGTCATTCCTTTATCATGTGTCAATGTATACATTACAAATGCATTGCCCCAGGAAAATGAAACTGACTTATTCTCAAAACCTAAAGAATTGTATAGAAATTCCAAAGGGATGTCCTTGGAAATTCACCCTTGACCAATATATCCAGTAGGCTGCTGAAGCACAATGCTGTTTTTCTAGCTGATTATGCACATTCGCTGCATCCAGAAAGATGTGGAGCTTGGCTTCCCTCTTACATTATGAGGACAATTTATTTTGACAGCTTTCACAGCCCCCAAAAGTTGTCAGACATCCAACATACTGCAGATTGAACTCTAAGCATTAAAAAGCCCCTCAGCCTGAAGTTGAAAGCAGGAAGGTGGGAGCTAGAATCAAAGACAGCAAAGCAGAATTTCTGTCTTGCTCTTTTCTTACACAAGCCAAAAGCTTAGAACAAAATTATCTTTTACTTAGGTTTGGTCACTGTCCATTCCTTTCTCCACTAGTCACATTTAATGTATCTCTATCAACCCTAAATTTCCCATTACGATAGTCAATTCATTCGTTTCTCAATTGGTAAATTCCATTTCCACCAGTCATTGAGTAGCTTCTCTCTCTTCTCTGAAAAGACAAATCAGTCTCCCCACCTCCAATTCTTCTATGTCTTCCACATGCAGAACCTCTTCCTTTTGTTATGGCAAGAGGTTGTCTTTTTAGTAAAGCAACTTTCATTGTGATGCCATTGACCTAGTTTGAGTGTTGTTAGACAATAAATAGCCCTGTGGAACTTATCACTCATTATAAGGATCACCATCAAGGGCATTTTTCATTACATCATAGAGTGTCCTATTTATGAAGCCTTCCAAAATAAATCCTTTTCTTATCTTTTTTTTTCAAAAAATAGTTGTGCTCCTCCTGTGTTTTTTTTCTCTGCTTATTTCTTTTTATTTGTTAAATTTAAAAGACATTGCAAATTTTTGTAAACAATACTATAGGTGATTAACTCAAGAGAAGTGTAAAGGGTACCATGCTTTAACAATTCATTATCATCCATGGCTTTCTTTGCCTTCCCTCTTGATTTTCTGTATTGTTTCACTGTACTTTTTCATTGCCGTTTGCTGACGATGTTCATATATCTCTTCAGCTAACATTTTCCAAACAATCTTTATATGTTCAGGCACTGTTTTAAGTACATAGCATATTTTAAATTATTTTAATTTTCATTTTCCAGTATGTGAGATAGCTACTGCAATCATCTCAGTTTTTCAGAGAGAAAAAAGGGGATGCAAAGAGATTGAGAAACTTCCCTAAGGTCACACAGCTAGTGAGTGGAGAAGTCACTCTGTGGTAGATTAAATTATTTCTGGAAGAAAACACAAAGGAGAGCTTGCTGTACTTGAGCAAGACATTGGAATAATTTAAGTTAATGCAAAGGTAATCCCATTAGGTAAGTCAATTTGCCTAAACCACTTAGGTGGCAGAACATTTTTGCTGTTCTGTTTTATAACCTGTTGGAGAATCCCTCAAACGTCATGCCACTAATGGCTCTTTCCAAAGTTTGAAGAGATTTGGCCACTATCTAGAATTATAAGTTCAAGGTTAAGGGACCTTGCCAATGAAAGTTAGAAGAGTAATGAACTAAAACCTTATGTTTGCTACCAGGCAGTCTCATGACTTTCAGGATTATGAAATATGTGTTTCCTGTGATGGCTTTCATGTTTGCTCTCTCTTGAAAAGTTGACCTGGTTTCACTTAGGCTAGATACATTTATGCTTCACAGATCCAAACTATTGAAATAAATAATGATTTATGTATAGATGAGCTGAGGACATTAGTTTCAATTTTGCAACGCTGAACTTTCAGTTTTTGCTATTAAAAAAATGACTAGTGTAGGATTACACAGAAACTTTTACCTTCAAAAAGAGAGTAGTAGCATTCTTTCTGGGAGTTTTAAAGGAGAAAAAACTGTTGTCAAAACTAGAATCAATGCTAAAATTTTCCATTCTGATTTCGTCTCAGTCCAAATCACCATATCTGCCTAGCTACCTTATAATAGACAACTTCTAGCAGAGATCTGGCCTTAAAATTTTTCACAATTGAAGGAAGAGGCCTACCATATACTAAAACTCAGAAAATGACAAATTCCTCAAGCAAAGGAGTCCAGAGGCTGAGCAGCCAGAAAAAAACTCACAAATTTTTACTATAAATGAAATAAGTAAATTCAAATTTTCTTTTCATTCATCCAACCTGCCAAAAAACCATCTGTCCATCCAACAAATATCTATTGAGTTCCAGGCATAGTATTCAGTATTTGTCATTGTGCAGGGTACTTTTTTGTTTGTTCTTTCACATTCACTCTCTACCATTCTCCATCCCATTCTATGCTTCAGATGGCAGATCATTATATATGGATTTATATGGATTTCATTGCTCCCTATATTCTAGTTGAACTTGGCCAGTGGAGGCACTAATGGAGGATTGGAGGTTGGGGAGAAAGTGAGCTAGGTGCTTATTTCTTGTGCTCCTCACTGTTGGGCTACTGTTTGACAGTGGCTATATTACTTCATGAAGGCAGCTTCTAACAGGCTACCTAGTCTTTTCTGAAGCTACAGCTCTCAATGAGTTCTTGTAGCCACTCATTGCCTTTCCCCTTTCAGATCTAAGGATAATAAAGTCTTCCTTCTCTTGCTAAGTGATATGGTTCTGTGTCCCTATCCAAATCTCATGTTGAATTGTAATTACCAATGTTGGAGGAGGGACCTGGTGGAAGGTGATTGGATCATGGGGGCAGATTTCTCCCATGCTGCCCTATTGACAGTGAGTGAGTTATCATGAAATCTGATGGTATAAGTGTGTGTGGCACTTCCCCCTTTGCTCTCTCTTTATCCTACTCTGCCCTGGTAAGATGTGCTTGCTTCCCCTTTGCCCTCTGTGATGATTGTAAGTTTCCTGAGGCCTCCCAGTCACTCTTCCTGTTAAGCCTGTGGAACTATGAGTCAATTAAAGCTTTTTTTCTTTATAAATTACCCAGTCTCAGGTAATTCTTTATAGTAGTGTAAAAACAGACTAATAAACTAACCTAAAAGTGCTTTGCCATCCTCTGTTGGTTTCTTTTAACCATGATTTCCTCATAAAGATCCTTTTTATTCAAACTTTTTTCAATTATCACTTTTTGGAGTACCATCTATTTCTTACAAAAACCATGACATTGTAGGATATATCGGTCGGTCAAAAAGTCAGTCTTTGATCTTATTGTATTTACAGTTCAGCAAAGCTATAACGTTTATATATTGTGAAACTCTCTCACACTGATTTGGGGTAGGCTTGATAAGCAATACATACTTGACATTATATTCCAATTCTGAGTTCTGAAAATAGCTACTTTACTCAGGCATTATGATAAATTTGCGATATATTTTTGTGTACTTTTCCCTCGTAATACTTCTTTTAAATTATTTCCAACGCCTTCCCCTTCCTAGATGTACTAGGCAGCAGTATTTACTATACTATTCAATGCCTAGTACATCATTAAATGTTAGATAATTCAACCCAGAATATAATCAAGTGGAGAATTTAATGTGAGTCAACATAATAGCAAGTGGATGTGTGTTTATAATGAGGCTCTTCATTAACCTGAACATTTTCTCTGGCCCTGTCAGGATCAGATCACAGGAGGGGGTTAGAACACATTGCCATAGGAGGACTGTCCACATGCTAGAGGATAAAATAAAAGGGATGACCCTGAGAAAAGGAGATGTTAGCTGAATCATAGAGCAAATATTGTCAGCTTGGATAAAGGAAGCACAGATCAAGCCTAGGCAGATCAATAATTTCCAGTTCTAAACAACAAATTCCAGGAGAGTCTGCCTGAGGACTAAATGCAGAGGTGTTGTCATCATTAGCAGTACAAAAAAAAAATCTCATCTAGAAAAATCCACACAAATGGTAGGGGAATGACATGATCATAAGCTGGGATAAATAAAGAAAAATGTAGAATAACGTCAAATTTGTGGTACATATAATAAACATCTCATTGCTCCTAGGAAACACTGCTGGGAAGCTGGAGAGATGCAAAAGCAAAAATATATATAAAAAAACCTTGAACCAAATGGATATACGTTGAAGAGAAATAGCTAGCTGAGACATCAGGAAAATACTGCTGAACTCTAGACACATCTAGGATTTCAGCCTTTGGTCAAGTAACAGTTTAACTCTTCAAAATACAATAGGGTAAAACATACTTATTGAACCCGCCAGATTCAGATAGTTCTGTCGGGAAACAAGTCTACCCTCAAGTTTTTTGATACTCATTACTAATAGCTGGAATGATGCTGGAAGGCTTGTTATGTTAGGTGCTCAGTTTTGTCATAACTCCTCTGCCATCCTAGGAAGCTAGATCAAATTGTGTTGCCTTCTGAAAACTGCCTCATATTTGAAAATAAAGCCTTGACATTTTCAACTGATAATATATATATATTATAAATTAGAAGAGATCTGGATCACTTATTTTTAAAATCATAACTTTTAATATGCCCAGATGATTTCTTGTGCCAATCATCATACAGGTTAGTAATAGAGATTATATGTAAAAATAAATAGATAGAAATATATATAAATATGGCATGATCAAATAAGTTAAGAAAAAATTGGGCCAAACATATTTTTCAGGTGTCTTTATTGTTAGAATTCAGACTTTCCAATCTAACAATGTGTATCATCATACTCTAGACGAACTATAGCAGGTAGAGTATCCCCAAAGTATCTTATAGGTAGACTGTATTTTTAATGAAACATCTCATGAAATCAGGATTTCATGGGTTTCAGAAAATGATGCTTTTGTTATACTAAACAATTTATTTTATAATTTTATTGTATTTTATATACATATATACTGACACTTAAAAAATTTGTGTGTCATCCTTGTATGGTGGTCATGCTAGTCTTCTCCGTATTGTTCCAACTTTAGTACGTATTCAGCCTAAGTGAGCACTATACTAAATATTTCCTAGCAGTCTTGAGTATGTATGTTGAATTGTTGGAAGAACTTGAGATCATCCAATAAAAACTCCAACACAACTGGAAATTCCCATCCTATGCAAGTGTGGTGAGAGAGGTCAGGCAGCCTCTCTTGAAGCACCTCCAAGGAGGGTAAATTCCCTGGTCAGTGAGTCATCATATCTTGATTTCAAGCAACTCTGGATTTTATAAATGCTTTCTCTATCCTGAGCTATGTTTTGTTTTTTTTTTTTTTTTTTTTTTTTTTTTTGAGACGGAGTCTCGCTCTGTCGCCCAGGCTGGAGTGCAGTGGCGGGATCTCGGCTCACTGCAAGCTCCGCCTCCCGGGTTCACGCCATTCTCCTGCCTCAGCCTCCCAAGTAGCTGGGACTACAGGCGCCCGCCACTACGCCCGGCTAATTTTTTGTATTTTTAGTAGAGACGGGGTTTCACCGTTTTAGCCGGGATGGTCTCGATCTCCTGACCTCGTGATCCGCCCGCCTCGGCCTCCCAAAGTGCTGGGATTACAGGCGTGAGCCACCGCGCCCGGCCTTTTTTTTCTTTTTTTAATAAATTCTACCACTGGTTCTAGCTTTGTCCTCAGAAGAACACAGGATAAATTAATTCATTCTTTCCCAGCTTCTCTGAGTTCACTCAATTTTTTCTCAGGTGATATGATTTCTAAGCCTTTCACAAATGTCACCCTGGAATCACTCCAGATTTCCTCTAATTCTTTAAAACATTGTGCCTATAATTGCACTCAATATTCTGGGTGTGTGGTTTAATCAATGCAGAGAAGAATAAGACAACAACTTCCTACAGCGTGTAAACTCTTTTCCTGCTAATCATGCCAGAGTTTTGCAGTCACTTCACACTGTGTACTCATATTAAGTTTGAGATCAACTTAACGCCCCATAACATTGTTTCAGTGAACTATTGCCACAGCATGACTTTTCTCTCCTATACTTAGGCAATTGATTTTTGAAGCCTAAATTCCTATCACTGGTTTCTGCACAGTTTCACATAGAAACAACCTGCTGGTTTCTTTTGGTGAATACAATTTTATCTTTACAAGAATTCAAGATAATTATGATGATGAGAAACATCTTATCAAAAATGGTAAGTTACAATTCTTTACATTCAGAGAGTGCTTGAACACATGTTATTTTACTTTCTACCCATACCAGATAGAGAAGTTAGGTATTATTAGCATCAATTTAGAAATGAAGAAACTGAGGCATCAGGCATACTAGAATTTGATATCCACATGTCTCGTAAGTGGAACGCCATGATTAAAACCCCATCTTCTGCCACCAATCCAAACTTCTATCGTATCCCAAGTACTTTTCAGTAAAAAATATAAGCCACGGTCTTTAAGTCCAAGAATTCTGTTATGAATGTTCCATTCAGCAGTGCCAGTGGGCTAGGGAACTGTCTTTTCTTCGTTCTACAGCACTTGGCAATTCACTATAAACTTAGCCAAAGCCAGGCATACAGGCCTAGAAGTAAAAATTCCTATATAACAAACTCTTCTGCTCTCAGATTCTACACTGCTTCTTTTAAAATGCTTTTTAAAAACTTAATTTTCTATCTATAAACATAGACAGTCATTAACATGAATGCTAATTGTTTTATTTTAGAAGTGATTATTTATGAGTAAAAATGTCATTTCTACGTTAAAAAAATGTTTCCTCTATTTATTATTTCTTTCACTCAGCCTGACAATTTTCAAGAATATGGGAAGCAAAAGTTGGAAGACATCTATACATTTGTATCAAGTCCATTCTTTAGGAGCCAGAGTGGGCTTTTTCCCTAAGGCTTTTGAAAGAGAAATGGAAATAAATATATGATGACTTTAAAATAATAATCAAAGAATTACAGAGGCTAGAGAGTCAGCATCCCAGGGCTGGGATACCCAACCCCATCAGGAATATGAGAAGATAATATTTCTGTGGACACCAGTTATCGGTTTGAGAGTGAGAGGCTACTGTATATATGTTTTCAGCCAGAATGTTTGAAGCATCAGGGTATTTGAAGATGATTCTCAAGGACACAAGGAAAACAACTATTATATAGCCCCACCCAGAATTGCTCCAGAGTAATCAAAATTAACAAAGGTCTATCTGCGGAGTAAGCAAGACCATCTGTCTCCAGACATGGCCATTAGGATCTGAAGTGACAACCAGAAAGACCAGATATATTTTCTGATGATTATCTCTATAAAATTATTGACAAAAGCCCATGTTGAGTCATGAAATGAAAATAACATTTAAAGACATAAGGCAATCCTCAAAAAATTCACATTGTCCAAAAAATTCCTTCATTTAATAAAACCAGGTGGTAATCAATAAACTCATTAGTAATGAGATTTTCCAACTTTAGCTTCTGGCATAAAAATATGCCTATTTTTGTCTGAAACAACACTAAGTATTATTATGTATCATTAACAAATAAACTAAATTTGTATGTTTTTTAATGATAAGCAAGTGATTTTCAAACATATTTTTGCATTATTATAATTATCATACAAAAACATAGATTGAAAAAAAAGCCACTTTATTTTGCAATGTCGCTCATCAAGGTAGTCTATTTACCCAACTGTATTTTGCATTTTTTCTCATCAAGGTAGATTTTGTTCATCCACATTTGAAACTGGTATGGCTTCATGAGTTGCTTTAGACCAGCAGAGTGTGGTAGACATGATATTATATGAGGGAACAGTTCAACCCACAGCAAGGACATTCTTTGTTGAAGAGGGAAGTTAACTACGAAAACTACTATTGAAAACTGAAAGAAAGGATGGTTATAAAATAATTGAAAAGACCATTACATACAGTAACTTGAATAATAGAAAATATGCCAAATGAATTTGTATATATGGATATGGAGATTTCAAATAACATTGAAAATGTGATTTGCCTTTTGTGAGCTATGTAATGGGCAGGTATAAAAGCAAAGAGAAGACTTTAAAGAAAATGCATTCAATTGAAAGTAGAAAGTAGAGAAACTAAAAAAAATAACCAAGTACTACTTAATTAGTAATTTTAAAAATGTCTAATGCATGTGGGGCTTAATACCCAGGTGATGGGTTGATAGGTGCAGCAAACCACCATGATACACATTTAACAAACCTGCAGGCCCTGCACATGTATCCCAGAAATTTAAATTAAATTAAATTAAATTAAATTTTTAAAAAATTGTCATTTTTTAAGTCTTTCCACCCTTCTATTTTTTTAATAAAAAAAATAGCTTCAGGATAAAGATTAATTGGAAAATAAGGTTGTAAAACTTCTTGTAAGACCTAAGTAAGATTTAAGGTGGTACCTAGTAAAACCTTTTTGTAGTTCACTAGTCTCCTGATCAAGAAGGGTTGCAATAGGGATCCTCATTCACATCTGGACCTAAAGCAAATTATAAGGCTTCAGACATCAATCTTGGTGACATGTTTGGATCAGATATATGGGGTCTCACCAGAAAGTCAAAATGTTTTGCATGCTGAAGAGAAAGGACTCAATGGACGCAGAAGGTGGCCAGCAGCATATTGCTATAGTACTAACTCCAAAAGAACCATACTTCCTAGTATTTAAGCTATTAGGTAGCCCTTCCAACACTGATTCTGGCCTTCCTTTGGCCCATAGGGCATCAACAAACACGAAACAAGCAGAAGTTCGAAAAGTGCTGATATATTGAGGCTTGATTCTTTGAAATGTGGCTTCTACCAGGTGAAGAAGCCAGAGATGAAGGAATATGTGGGGAGACAGCCTTTCTGGACAATCCAGCTGAGGTACCTATTACGTGAGCAACGCCGCTGTAGAACATGAGCCTCAAATGAGCCTCCAGATGAATGTAATTCCATGAGAAAGTTAAGGCGACACCAGCAAAAAAGTCAATCCAACCTACAGAATTATGAGAATTAAACTAATTGTTACTTTAAGCCACTATGTTTTGAGATAGTTTGTCATGCAACAATAGATTACTTCTATATAAGGTAAATCCAATGTAGTATTTTGCATTCCATCTAATACACTTTGAACTTTCAAATTAAAGCATTGAGTAAATACAAAATTTCAATTAAAATTTCTCTGAGACAGTATTTTTTCTGTATACATTTTAATTGCATGTACCACACTTTGCTAATAATTCTTATATTTATATTCAAGTTTCTTTATAAATCAAATATACTGCCAGGCCAGCAAAGCTCATCTGAATAAATTTTCTTTGAGAAAAAGACTAGAGTTTTTTTTTTTTTTAATTTTAGTATTGAATAGTGAATGTTCATCCTCAAGTATTAAGACCTAATTCAAACTCCTTACTTCTTTTCCTCTTCCTCTTCTTCTTTTAAATGCCCATCTGCTGAAGAAATCTATTTGACACAGCCAAACGAAAGAATATGGAAGTATTATGTTATAATTCATAGTTAAAATAAAGTCTGCGTTTGATTTTCTTTTCTTTTTTCTTTGTTTTTGCTTTTGGTACTCTGAAATGGGCATAAGATGACATGAGGAAATTAATATTATTACATAGTGTAGTAGATATTATTATTCACCAAAATATATTTTTCTCTATCCCTATAAAGTCAAAAATAATATACCTCCACATATCTATTATATGTGGCCTTGAGACTATTTCTAGGCCATGAAATGGAACAGAAGTTTCCTATGTTATTGTGGGGCCAGAGTGTTTAATTGCCGTGCTTGAGTCTTCAGTGCTCTATTCAACAAAACATTGCTATGTTGAGATAGTGCTATTATTGAACGATGGAGCTTTTATCAGCTAGTATTCCAGAGTGAAAACCACATGGAGTAGAGGCTCATAACAAGACAGACGTGCATTGTGAACAAGAAATAATCCTTTATCTTTAACCTACTGGGATTTGGGGATGTTTGTTATTATGGCACTACCTAACCTATCCTGCCTCCTACATACTTCCATTGCTTCGCAAGCCAAGGTTCCACTATTGGCTGGCCCTGAATCTCTTACCCTTCCTCTTTAATTCTTCTATCAAAAATGTGCTCTATGTAGGTCCTCTAATTGGTAGATTGCACTATTCACATCACTGTTTATTATGATAGCTAAAAGGGAAGGCCCATATTTTCTTGGCTATGTTTTTGGGAAACCAAATAATTAGAAGACTATAATGAGTATCATTCAGGCCTTCAATTTGAATTTCCCTGGGACATGAGGTTGTTATTATAGATGAGTTGAATAATTCCTTCATAATGGAAGTGGAGAATCTGTCATACCTCCAAAAAAAAAAATCATTTCTATTTGCAGTTCTAAACTTGTCTAGTAGTGAAAAGGAAATGATTGAGCTTGGTAATATGATGAATAGATTTTAATGCCTGAATTAAACTGACTGTTCATTTTTAACCACACAGGACTGTTAGCTATGTGAAAAGAGATCCATATATTGCTCAAAGAGATATGACAGTGCTTGCTACATAGTAGGTGCTGAATAAAGTTGTTAAGGCAATAAATAATATTCTATTCTAAAGTACACTTTTCTTGAACAAATCACAACTTTCATGACAAGTGGGAATGCTGACCAATAAGTAATGCATTTTGGAGACCAAATACTTAAGATTGTTTAATTCATTTGCCATAAATTAGTTCATGTGACCTCCTCACACTCCTAATGAGTATTCCTTATTAATAAGTAATCTAATGCTCTGAATTATTCTATAATTGTCTCAAAAGTCAACAAATTAACCATTGGCAGGTCATTTATTTTCTAATTCCCAGATTAAAACATTTTTTTAGGCCACTGTTTCCCAAGCAGTTGTCTTTTGGTACCATTTTCACTACTGTGGAAAAGTTACATCCTGTGAGGATATAACTTCATATATCTATCTGTACTATTATTTAGTGAGTATATATTTGATTACCACACTTGTTTAACTTGAACTTATCTTCAACGAGTGTTTATATCACTACAATAATTAGAAAATGAATACAATTTGCTATATATAAAAGGTAACTATAAAAATGAATTCAATTAAAGCAAATGATTAAACTCTTGACAGATATTGCCTGACAAATGCTCTGAGGTGGGGGACCATTCTCTTTTAATATAAAAAGAAGTTAGGAAACGAAAGACATGTGAACACCAAACTGGGATTTTCTCCTTGATATAATCAGATAAAATGAAATAGAATTAAAAAAGAAAACTTTTTTATAATTAGGTCTCTCGTTCTTAAGTGTTATTTAAAATTAAATTTATTTATATTCTCCGTACCAACTGCGAAGTGCATGTTTGGCAATTTGTAAATGTTCTCTGGGCTACCAAGCTTCCCAAACCCCATATATTGGTGGAAGTATATGTTACTTTTTCCTCTATTTTTTAATATTATGCTTTCTCCTAAATATACATATACAGATATTTATGTATATAACCAGTTCAATTTCTCTACATTATTTTAGAAAAGCACTTTTTCAGCACACCTACCTTTGTTCACACAATACTAAAGAAGTTTGTCTTAATGTTATAGTGCCTATTTTGTTTATTTGTAATTTACTAATAGAATGTTTTTTTCAAGTTAAAATTCAAATGGATTCTTCAATAGTAATTTTATCTGCCTCAATGGATTATTTTTCCTAAGACCTCTGCCATTAATAAAATCACCTTTTCAAATTCTAATTTTTATTTTATTCATAATTTCCAAGGCAGATTTCTTAGAATTCCACATTTACTGCTTCCCGTTTGTGACCACAGACTAGCTCCTTAGCTCCTCAAAGACTCTGATGATTATTTTTAACTAATTATCTAAGGTCACCGTTAACATCTTAGTTGTTACAGGTTATAGACCCTTTTCTCCCCACATGTGTTTAACTAATTGCTCCTACATGAACTCTCAACTTCCTTTACTTCTGTGAGGTTGGGATCACTTGGCTGTAACTGTATATGATTACATCTTTCCTCTTATGGCTTCATGTAGCACCTCTCTGCAAATAAATACCAACCACCAAGCTCCAGATTCTGTTTAGTTATTTACTGTCCATAGGAGACTAGATCCTCTTGACTGAGAAGAGAGAATAGGATGTGTAACTCAAACTCTCCATTTGACAGACACAAAGTCAAACTTGACTTTCTGTGCCTCCTTACTGCTCATTCCTCATGTATTTCTCTCCTTTCTTTCCTGTTATTCTTATTGTCACTTTCATCTGTACAGTATTTTAATCCTAAAATCTTGGTTATCATCTCCTTGGCACTACATTTAAGCAATTGCTAATTCCTATGTTCTAGCTTAAAAGTATCCATTTCTGTCCTCATTCTGAGTGTCAATAATGCAGTTTTTTATATTACTTGTCTTATTTTATCAAAAAAATCTTCACTATTCTTCTTTCTTCTAGTCTATTTTAATTCATCTTGAGCAAGACTGACAGCTTGTTGATGTCATTTTAGAAGGACACATCTGGTTATGTTGCTTCTCTGCCTCAAATCATACAATATCTTGCAAACATCCCAAAATAAAGTTAAAACTTCTTAGTCTGGAATTCAAGTCCTTATATCATCCAGACATTTACTGTATTAAACCTCAACTATGAAATGTTTTTTACTTTTCATCTTTGATTGATCAATTAAAATTAGGTGGATTTAAATGACATAATTTCTAAAAATTTTGATTCAAGAAAAAAATGCATAAATATACATTCATTTGCCAATTGTTTCATAGAAAGCTTAGGCCATTTTTTAAAGTATGAATTTACCAGCTGCATCAATCACATATTTTTTGCAATATTAGAGTAAGTTCTTAGAAACATTTTTGAAGCAATTTATGTGTATAATACTTCTATATTTACAAATTTGTTCCTCCACACTTTTATAATTGTCTCTCCTCCAACCAATAATTATGCCATAATTTGCATGGAGTTCATCTATGCTGTGTGTTTTCCATGCACTAAGTTTGCATTTATAGAAGAGAAAAATCTTTTTTTTGCAGGTATATTTCTTTGCCTATATGATTTCAATTGCTATATATTTACAATAACAGGAAATATTAGTATAAATTGTTTTAGAAACAAAAGCAAATTATTTTAGTTAACCATACAACCAATTTGTAGAGGCAGAAATGCACAAACATTGGATCAAGTGGTGCAGCAGCCCGAGTTTAGTATGTCATAAGCATCAGAAATTGTGCCTTACAGAAAGCAAAGATTTTTCAGCAACGTGAAAAATTGTGCCTTACAGAAAGCAGGTTTTTCAGCAACTCAAAATTGCTTAAAGGAGATATGCTGAAATTTCTATTTTCCATTATAATGATAGTTCTAACCTTTACTTCTGTCTTCTCTCCATTCATCCCATTCAAATGTACAACTACTTTAAACATATGTATTCATCTTAAATTCTAACTCAAATCTCATTTTTTATGTTCAGTTTCTGGATGTCCCTACCTGAAATACCTTTCCTATTTAAACTACAATAACATTTTTATACATGGATTTTGTATGATATTTTGACTTTGAATTATAGTTACGACCATGTATATTTTGTTTGTTATACGTGCTTGAAATATCAGTGTGGTTTCTGATTCACTTTGTTATTGTCAGAAGCATTTGAACCAGAGCGACCACATCTTGAATAGGTACTAAGTAAAATAAGGCTGAGACCTACAGGGCTGCATTCCCAGGAGGTTAGGCATTCTTAGTCAAGGGATGAGATAGAAGGTTGGCACAAGACAAAAGTCACAAAGACCCTGCTGTTGAAACAGGATGAGGGAAAGAAACTAAAACTTACCAAGACCAAGATGGCAATAAAAGTTACCTCTGTTCATCCTCACTGTTCATTATACGCTAATTATAATGCATTAGACTGTTAAAAGACACACCCATCATCACCATGACATCTTACAAATGCCATGACAACATCCAGAAGTTACCCTATGTGGTCTAAAAAGGGGAAGAACTCTCAGTTCTGGAAAACTCATGAATAATCCAACCCTTGTTTAGTGTATAATCAAGAAATAACTGTAAATATACTCAGTTGAGCAGCCTGTGCCACTGCTCTGGCTATGCAGTAGGCATTCTTTTATTCCTTTACTTTCTTAATAAAGTTGTTTTCACTTTACTCTATGGGCTTGCCCCGAATTCTTTCTTTTGTGAGGTCCAAAAACCCTCTTGGAGTCTGGATCAGACCCTTTTCCAGTAACAATATCTTTCACAGAATTTAGCATGAAGAAAGTAAAATGAGTGGTGTTATCATAACATCTCCAGGCTAGTTCTTTGTGGATGCTGAGTTTTGGAGAAAAAGGAAAAAATGGTAGAACTTATACAGAATATTATTAACAAATGTGGGTAGTTTGACCATAGATATTCATTCATCAGATAGTTGGTGAGTATATTTAAAATGAAAACTTTTTAAATGTATTTTTAAAACTTTTAAGTTATTAAATAGAAGTTGCAGAAACAGACATTTATAGAAATGATGATATATCCTAATTGAAGAAATATTATGCAGTTACTTAAGATGATGCTTGCAGAGTATTTTGTATAAGAGAAAAAAATTCTGATAATGACAAGTGAAATAAAAAGCAAGATACCAAACTAAAACTATGGTTTAAGCATATTACTGAACCTTAATGGAAAAATGCTGGAAATTAAAACACAAATGTTAAGCAATTGTGGGTGGTTTGTTTCCTTCATTGTTTGTTTTGTTCAAATTTTCTACTATGATCATTTTTATTTTTATGATAATAATGAAATAAATTGTGTCTTATTGCTTTTAAAGAAAGTTGCTCAATTTCCATTAATTAAATTAATCTTCTTTTATTAAGCAATTACTCTATTAATAGCTATTGACAGTTACCAAAAAGGACAATGTGGGCAGAACCATGGTGCAAATCACTGTTCTGTTGTTATCCCCAGGAATACAAATGAAGATGTAATGATATATTTTCAAAGTAAAAGGTGCTTGACTTTCAACTTCTAATCCAAAGATAATATCAACAAGGGAAAAGCTAAATATGTGATAGAGATCACAATTTTTAATGTCCTACCTCAGAAGATAACAATAATGTCTTTTTCCCTTTAGGTAGCGAGGGCCTGAAATACTTTTTAGATATCTGCTATTTAATCTGGCAGAGTCTCTGGGAGATAAGAAAGGAACTAAACACACACAAGAGCAAAGACCATAGCTTTTCATCTCTTAGATGTGACCTGGGCCAAAGAATGTGAAGGTTTCCAGAGATTAAGGCCATCTCCATGGCACTAGGCTAATATACCCTCTGGGCGGCCTCATCCATTGTAACACTACTCTTTCAAAGTTCAGGGCTAACCATAGGGGATGGTGGGGAAAGTGATCTCCAAAGAGAGTAGAAAATACTTAGGAGGAGAGCAAATAGATAAAGGACCAACATTAATAGCACCATCATTATGGCTAGAAGTTTCTTGATTTTCTTGAAAAATACTCAGTTGCCTTGAATGTGTATCTGTTAGTTATAAACTACATATAAAATCCTAATCCCCCCCCCGCCCCCGCCAACCAACAGAATAGATACCCTCTTGGCCAAGGGGATCCCAGAGAAACCTTAAAAACTGAGTTTTCAGTCATAATGGGAATGGAGGTCGGACAAACCTCATTATACTCCCTCCACTTTAGAGTTTAGGAGCAACAACTTCCCAGCATTAATGTTAAAATAGAGACTCTAAGACAGAACAGACTCTTTGTGACAATAAAGTACCAAATTGGAAACAAGATCTAAGGCCATGCAAAGCAAGAATTAGGTCACCCTTGCCCACCATCAATCATGCTACATAGCATCCTTATCTTACCTTAAAGCATTCTTTTCTGCAGATTCCAAATTTTAGACAGAACCATACTCCTTTAAACAACTGCAAATAAAAGAATCTATGAATCCACCTATAACCTGTAAGCCCCTGCTTCAAGATAGTCTGCTGAAACTATGTATACCTTCCAAGTATTGATTTATATCTGCCTGTAACTCCTGCCTTCCTGAAGTATATAAATCCACACTCTAATTCAACTGCCTTGGGACCACTTACTCAAGGCTTCTTGGGTTTGTGTTTTCACTGGACCAGAGTCAGCTATATTGGCTCAGAATAAATTGCTTTATTTATTTATTTACTTATTTACTTATTTTGAGGTGGGGTCTCACTGTGTCACCCAGACTGAAGGCTGTGGTACAATCACAGCTCACTGCAGCTTTGAAACCCTAGGCTCAAGCAATCCTCCCACCTAAGCCTCCTGAGTAGCTGGGACTACAGGAGCACACTACTACAACCAGATAATGTATTTATTTCTTTATTTTTGTAGAGACAGACTCTCTCTGTGCTGAACAAGCTGGTCTCAAACTGCTAGCCTCAAGCAATTCTACCACCTCAGCCTCCCAACATGTCAGGCACAGTGGCACACTCTGGGATTACAGGCATGTGCCACTATGCCTGGCAGAATAAACTTCTTTAAAATATAACCACTAACATAGTAGTCATCCTAGGAATCTCCTCATTGTATGGTCAATAACTTTCCAGGTTAATTTCTCTTAAAAGGTAGAATATTTCCTAGGGCTGCTGTAACAAAGCACCACAGACTGGCTTAAAACATCAGAGATGTATTGTCTCATACCTCTGGAGGCTAGAAGTTCAAAATCAAGGTGTTGGCAGAGCTATGCTCCTACCCAAACCTCTAGAGGAGGATCCTCTTTTTATAAAAGACCAGCCATTGGATGAAGTGCCCACTCTAATCCACTGTGACCTCATTTTAACTTAACTAGTTACATGTCCAATGACTTCATTTCAAAATAAAGGCATATTCTGAAGAAGTGAAGGTTAGGACATCAACATATCATTTAGGGTGGATACAATCCAACTAATAACAGGTGGGTAAAAAGAAAGATCCCCCACCCAAACAATAAAAACAAAATGAATGAACACCATGAACACCCCAAGCCATTTGTTTTAGTAATACAACTATCATTATTTGAAAGCTGAGGACATAAGGATAAAACTATCTCATTATGAAAGTCAATAAACTACTGTCTCATTGAGAGACATCATGAAAAATGATTCTGCCATCACATATACACATATACACACACACACACAGGCCTGACTAAAATCACAGTCCATGGCTCCTTAACATTGACACATGGCCATAAGGGTTGTGAGCATAAATTTCTTCATCTCTGCATGACAGAAAAGAAAATTTTTTCTCCTTTCAAATCTGCTAAAAATCTCTCTAATTTTGCAAAGTTTTGGCTGTGTTCCATTTCTGCCTAGACAAGCTTGTCTTTCAGGCTTCAGCAATCAAGAATAGGGGAGGGGCAAAACAATAAAAAACAGACGTGCTAGACAAAGAAAGTGAAATTTAGGAGCTAGGGAAGGAGAGAGAGAGAGGGTAGAGTTAAAAAGACAGGCATTTGGGAGTATCTGAAGTATGTGGTAAAATGGGAACGAAAACATGGCAATAACAAATGGAATAAACAATTGTTTCATTAATGAGTTTGACATATACAAAGTAAGAACTTGAATCTTTACATCCCTTGGACTTTCTAGGAAGTTATTTCAATCTCAGTGATCAGTGATACCACACTATTGATCCACATAGGCTACATATACATTAATGTTGTATGTAAAATTGGGATAGTGTTACTATGCTGAGTGATGCCAAGAAGAAGATAAGATTACCCAATAAACCCTTTAAGCAGTGTCTGACATATAATAAATGCTCAATAAAAGTGACAACACTTATGCCTTCGTTCTACCTTACTGCTCACTGAATGCTTATAATTACTGTGTAATGGAATAATACCAATAGAATGCTAATTGCCCAGAGACATTTAGTGACTCTTAACACTCCAGAGATAGGACCATTTTTATATTAAAAAATCAAATAGCACTCTGGCTAACATATCAAGCTGACATCCAGGAGAATTAGATCTGGTTCCATGAGTGCATGCCCTTTGCACCAGTTACAATTGTAACCCTTATTGGACATCTACACAATAGGCATTTATTGAGTATATACTGTGTGTTCATCCATCCAGCCATTCATCCATCAATCTAGCCATTCATCCATTCATCATTTATTCAAAAAAACACTTTCAGAGTGCCTGCATATGTCAGGCAGTGGTCTAGGAAGTGGATATACAATGAAGAACAACACACGCTTTCCCTACTTTTATGGAGTTACATTCTAGTGTTGGGAACCAATAAGACTAAACATAAGGAAATAACATGATTTCTGGTTTTCTGGCTTCTGTGGCAAACACTGGAAATAAAATCTTACGCGTGTAGGGGGCAGGAAGTATGGGTATAAAGGTGTTATAGAGCGGTTCCAGGCAAAGGAAACAATATGTGAAAAGGATCAGAGGTAAAACTCATGGTGCATTTCTGGACTGCAACTCAGTTTATATTGTACAGATGAACAAAAGAGATGGGGAAATGCTGGAAATACAACTAGAGGGATAAAGAATACAACAGTTTCCAGGACACATTAAATCATACATCAAGAATGCATGACTGTATCCTAAGACAAAGAGATACAATTGAAAGATGTTAAGTTGGGCATTTAAGCACTGTGTTTCATTGATATCTTTCCGACAGCAGTTATTCAAATTTAGAGACTAAATGAAAAGATAACTAATTTGAGGATCTTGGCCTAGAGTCCTTTCCCACCCTGGCTTCTGGCTTCAGGTGCACCTCTTTCCACGTCTATGCACATCTCGTTAGACTCGAGTTGCCTTTCTGATTTCTGATTTTGAATACTTCCATTTTTCCTCTCCTTCCCACTACCAAACTGTCAACTCAGCTCAGTTATCGAGCCCAAGAATTTGCACTTAGCCACTGCCTATAAGGAATTGTTGCTGCTTCAATACCAACTCCCTCTGCCACAAGGAAAAGCCTTAACTTTAAGTGTGATATTGCCTACATAAATTTTGTGTCACCATTTTGGTAAAAGTGTTTGGTTTCAACTGGCTTAAAAGTGCCCTTTAGGCTGGGTGCGGCAACTCACCCTTCTAATCCCAGCACTTTAGGAGGCCGAGGCAGGTGAATTGCTTGAAGCCAGGAGTTACAGACCAGCCTGGCCAACATGGCGAAACCCTGACCCTAGTAAAAATACAAAAATTAGCCAGGTATGGTGGCGTGTCCCTGTAGTCCCAGCTACTTGGGACACTGAGGCACAAGAATTGCTTGAACCCAGGAGGTCGCAGTGAGCTGAGATCATGCCACTGCACTCCAGCCTGGGTGACAGTGCAAGACTCAGTCTCCAAAAAAGAAAAAAAGAAAAAAAAGTGCCCTTTAGAGGAATCAGGCACAAACACATTCATAGACCATCACAGATCAAATCCCTCCCTTAAAAGATTCTATACCCAGGATGGATAAGGAGGAATGACAGTGTCTTTATGTGAGATTAATATGACACTATTATTATGTATTTTGGGGAAATGGTAATATTTTATATCATATGATCATCATTTCTATGAATAGCATGGTATGAAAACTGTTTTCTCTATGATAATGCATATGCTTATAAAGTATTTTCATTATCTTAGAATATTCTCTTGGGCCATGGAGTAGCTGAAAAGAGTGATCTTTCCATCATCAGTGACATAAGTGGTAACATGTTAGTGGGTAGACACTTTGAGATTTAAATTAACCACAACCAAAATATATAATCAGATCTCTTTAGATAAAAAGTGATTTATAAAACATGTGGAGAAAAAAATATAAATAAAACAAACAAGGTATCCTTCAGCTATTTTGTCATTTTTGTTAGCTTTCAAACATTTCTCCAAAAGTGTGAATATATTTTGAGGAAATATTTTATGTTTCAAGGAGGAGCTTTACTCTAAAAATATCTGCCCATTGATCTGAAGCAGAAATTATGGCAAAAATTTTAGTAGAAGTGGAAAGATCTGGCTTTTGGACCCAGGTGGGAGGTAAGAAAGAAGGGCTAGATGATATACTAGTTGTTCTCCTTTCCTTCAGTTACCATGGGCATGCCAACTGGGAGATGGTTGTAAAAAATTAAGTAGCTAATCAAATAAAGGTATATCACTGGTGCTCTAGGAAGGTCTTGCATCATTTTCACTCATTCACTTATTCATGTATTCATTCACTTACCTCACTGTTGCATATTTTGTGAGTTGAAAGAACTACTACTAGTTTGCATTTGGAGCAATCAGATCCATATGCTAGACACTAGCCTATGCTGACATCTCTTGAGCCTTATAACAATTGCTGTGAATAAAGGTATACTTTCAGATGACCAGTCAAGTTTCAGTGTCATAGGACATTTGGATACAGGTAACGCAATTGCTTCCAGCACCTATGGTTGTGGGACACCACTGGAAAAAACAAGATTGGTGAATGGTCAGGAGAGTCACTGCAGGTTATAATCAGTGTGGTCTCTAGTACACTAGACAGGGGACAGAAGGTAACACATGAAGAGGACTGATTCAATGACACCATTGACACTCCCTGGAGAAGGACATTTTGATAGGAGGGTGAACTCATATCATAAAAGAATGGGAAACTACATCATTTGGTATAAATATTGAAAGAGAAGTTAGTTAAAAAGGACATGAAAATGATATCTAAGTTTCATAATGTCCTGGTAAACAAAATATTTATAGGCCGATCTCTAGAAGTCATTTAAAGAGACCTCTATAAAATCTAAATTGTGAATATCCAATTGTACCAGATGTCAGCTTTTATGATGGTTTCAATTTTCCTCCCTAAATAGATATTCTGAAAACCCATTGGGAACAGATGCATTTCAATAAGTTCCACTGGGCTCTAAACACCAGCACTTTTAATCTATAAAATAATTACTACACAAAAAGAATATTATCATTATAAGAATACTATTTCCCAAGGGAGAACTTGAGATTTCTTTAATTAAACTTTCTTTAAAATTAAAACAAAGGACATCTTTAGAGAGAACTTTTAAACCCTAAGAATACCTAGCTTCCCCAATAAAAGCCATGTTATGTGTAACTGAGCCTTCTTCTGATTATGTTTGGAAGCTATTTGGGACTAATTTGTTTGTTAGGTTTTGTTTTGTTTTACAAAAAAGTATGGAACAGCTGCATTTATTATTTTAAAAAGCAGATATGGTTAAAAGCCATATATAAAGTGCTTCTTTCTTATCTAGTTGAATACTTAATATAGTATTTTTAAAATAAGGATACAATAATTACATAAACAAGATTTTATAGTTGGAATAAACTCTTTTCAGTTAAGAATAACAACCAATGGGAACAACAGTCACAGAGCTAGAAATAATTTATAGTAAGGGACTTATATACAATGTCTATTTTATCAATCAAGCTATGCCTTTCTTCATATGATATACTTGCTCAGATCTGTAACCAAAGCATGTCATTTGATCTTTCAGTGATAATATTTTAGAATCTTCTGACTCTAGTTACAAAGGTCTATACCATAATTGGCTATGAGCAAAATGGAAGGCTGGAGATCTATGTATGGCAATAATATTGAAGAGACTATTGAAAACGGGCAATGAACGATGGTGGTAAATGGCAAGTGAGAAAGCGTAAATTTAGGAGAAAACTAGAATAGACCTCAAAAACTGGATTTTGATCAATAGGTTATCCAAGCACCAAAAAGTCCATTAAACTTCTAGAATCAGGGAATTTAACCAGCACAATCCTCAAGTTCATCCAGGAAATGCTGTGGGTCAGAGTGAAGCCTTAGGTTAATACTTTTCAATTTTTTTTTAAAGCAGTTGGATCCCTTTCTTTAAATGAAATTTTAGTCAGAAGCTCTGTATGTCAAACACTTAGAGCAAATCTGCTCTTCTTGGAGCAGGGTGGGGATACTGCTAGCCTCCTTCCCTTTGGGCTGTGTGGGAGACGGTGTGGTGGTCTTTGATCGGGGCACTGTGGCTGAAGGAAGCATAGTTTGAATTGCCTTGCTCTAAGAAAACACTTTCTGACCTCTGCGATTTGACAATCCTGGTGTATAAGATAGCCCTTTGGCCATATTTCTGATCTCATGATTTTCATGATGTTTTAGCAGAGTGAAAATAGTCCCGGTTTCAAAACAAAGTGGAATTTGAATGTTTGCACTGTGATGCCAGGCATATTGTTTAACCTTTCTGACTTTGAGCTTCTTCATCCGTAAGATGGCAGAAACTTATTACCCTCACTTAGTGAAGACTAATTAAGATGATGTATGTAGTAGATGACAATGTTGAAATTTACCCAACCCTGCTATCCTGGAAAACAATGAAGGTTAAGAAATCCCCCAACTCCCATCATTTCATGTTTCTGGAAATGCCTGGCTGCACAGACCCACCCTTCTCCATATGAGTTAGGAAAGATTCAAGGGTGCCTCTTTGCTTCCTTATGACAAGGTCAGGCACGGACCCTTGGGATTCCCATGTTTTGCTTCACAAATGATTAGCTGAACTGTTTTATTCCTACTGATCCATCAGAACCAAATGCATATTAAGCAAACTTTGGTTAAGATTCTCCTCCTTCCCCAAGGTCCCTGAACTTTTACCTACACTCAGCCTGAGTCAGCACACAATCTTTTCTCAACAACCTCTAACAAAATAGAGAATAGGCCCATTGCAGGGTAAAACGTTCTCTGATCTACTGTGCAATCAGGTCACCATCACCTGTTCACCTCATTCATTTATGCACTTCCCCACATCGGGTTCTTCCCAGCCTTATTTGCTACTTTCTATAAAAGAAAAGCTCCTTTCTGCATAACAGATAGTTGCATATCTCATGGTCAGAAAGTTTCTCCTTATTGCCAGAAATTATCCTCTCCCCTAGTTTAATAATTACTTTCATACCCTAGAAATAATATCTTGAGTGAAGTCTCTTTTTACATAAGTAAAAATTTGTTTTTTATTTGACACAGATTATATTACTAAGAAATTAAATAAGCAGGAAGATGGACAAGTGGTATAGTTTTTCATTTGCTGTCTTCTGGGGGATAGAAAAATCCTGGAAATAATACATATTTTTACCTTTTATACAACGGGAGTAAGAAGAGGGAATGTTTCCAGAATTATATCTATGATATTTGCCTTTCTAAAAGTAGATCTAGTAGTGTCATGATTGAATCATTGGTTATCAATAACAGCAGCTAAATGCAACTTCAAAGCAAAAAGTTTTCTGCAAAATGTAAAGCATTATATAAATGTTGATTGAGATGGCACAGTCAGAAAGTGTTTTCCTAGAACCAGGTTTTTAAAATTATCCTTCTTTCAGCCCCAATGCTCCCAGTCTCCGAATCACCACCACCACACAAAATTTCCAGTGCAGCCAAGAGGGAAGGCTGCTAGCAACACCTCTGCCCTGCTCCCAACAGAGCCACTCTACCTTATCTGTTTGACACATAGAGCCCTGACTAAAATTTCTCTTAAAAAAAAAGATCCAACTGCTCATTAAAAAGTTTGAAAAGTATTAACTGAAACCTCTAATTGCTTATATCAATTAGTAAAATAACACCAATTTTAATTTAATTATACATGCCTGATAATAGTTTGGCTCTATGTCCCCACCCAAATCTCACCTTGAATTGTAATAACCCCCATGAGTCAAGGGCAGGACCAGTGGAGATAATTGAATCGTGGGAGCGGTTTCTTCCATGCTCTTCTTATGATAGTAAGTGAGTCTCATGAGATCTGATGATTTTATAAGCATCTGGCATTTCCCCTGCTGGCATTCATTCTCTCTCCTGCCACCCTGTGAAGAGGTGCCTCCCACCATGATTGTAAGTTTCCTGAGGACTCCCCAGCCCTGAGGAAATGTGAGTCAATTGAAACTGTTTTCTTTATAAATTAACCAATCTCGGGTTATGTCTTCATAGCAGCCTGAGAATGGACTAATACAATCCTCACATATGCTATTGGTGAGTGAACTCACAAATCATAATTTAGGTACAATATGAGGTTAAATGCTGGTTATAAAAAATTAGTCTGTGTATTAATATCAATACAAATCATCCCATAAAATGATACAGTTAAAAAAAAAAGACTCACAAAAGATAAAAGTATTCAATCACAAATTGTAGACTCCAAATTATTTACTGGTATATCTATAGGACTAATGAGCTAATTTTTTATTACAATTACAAAAGTCCCAAACTAGCTCATTCTTATTTCTTGCCATTATATATATATAACAGGTATTAGCAGGCCTTACCTGCTGTCAGTTAATTAATAGGTTTTCAGCTGTCGCTAAGGCATAGTAGATTCTTTCATTTACTCATTCATTTGCTCCCTCTGCTAGGCATTAGGAATAGAAGGGTCATGGGGCATAGATGACCTCTACCTTCAGAGAGCTTACAGTTCAGAACACAGCAGTGCTCAAACTTTATAGTAGCATCACTTGAAAGTTCTGTTAAAACCAGATTGCTGAGACTAACTCTCAGAAATTTTGATTCACTAGGTCTGGAATGAGGCTCAAGAATCTGCTTTTATAACAAGTACCCAAGTGATGCTTACCTGCTGGCTCGGGGACTGCACTTTAGGAACTACTGATTTAATGGTTACTAGGGATGTGGTGCTCCTGTAAACATGTAAATTGTATATTTGCTAGAACGGGACAGAGATTTCCCACTCTTTGGAATGAAATTACAATATGCAATTGAGTGCTTTGGGAGTACTCATACAGACTAATTGCAGAAAGACTGATGTTATTGATGGGTATTCATGTTAAACTCTAGATTACCTCTGATAACAAAAAAAAAGGCTCCCAAATAAAAATCAATGAAAGTGCTCTATGTTTTGATGCAAAAGAGAGACATTAAAATTCAATTTAGAGAACTGAAGTTGTTTTTGTGTTAAAATCATGTGCTTGTCAATGGTGCAGAGCTACTATGGTAATTACTTACACAAATATAGCTTAACAAAAACAAGTATTTCCCCATTTATAGTGCAGAAAAACAGTGTTCGTGTCATTCTTTTCAGAGACCAAGAAATGCATGCTGATTATTGGTAGAATAACAAAGCAGAGTTTTTCCATAAGGATACTTTATATATTTGTGTTATAGAAAATTCTAGATTCAATCCTGTCTATTTCCTCTCCTAGCCTTTTTATTTTGGTGGTGGAGTAGAGGAGCTGGAGTAAAAACTCTACGATAAAGAAATAAAGAAGGGTGTCCTTCTATGGAAAGTGCCACAATAATCTCTCTGAAGCAATGCAGAATACAACAAGTTTCAGTGACTCCAGTACTGAAATTTGACAAAAATATGATAAAAGTGAAGCAAAACTCAAAAAAAAAAAATGAATGCATGTCATCTTTGGACAACATGAATACATTCTTTTTAAAAAATAAATTTTCCAGAACTAAGAAAGAATTTCAATTAAAGGATCAGGAAAGGTACCTACTTTGTACTAATAGTGTTAGTGTGACTTTAAATCATTTTGGGACTAAGGCATAGTCTGATAAGTAAATAAACAAAGAAAAACAAAAGAAGGGCTCCTACTTTCAAATGCAAAGGTTTTTCAGTGTTTGAATGAATCCAACCAAAATTAACGTAGGTTGAGAACACTAACAGCTGTGCCTGCAGTGACGTTCTTGGTCCTGAAGATGAGGGACAGGTCCACCAAAAAGCTAGGACATTTGTCATATAAAATATCTCATCCAAAAGGAAACTCCAAAAATAAAGACATTTGAACAATGGTTCTCGATCCTAGCTACAATAACCCGGAAAACATTCAGACAATTCATTTCATCCTTAGTCTGAATCCCATCCCAGATTAAGAAAATCATATTTTGGGGGCATGGGGCCATCATAATTCCTTAAAAACTTTCCAAGTGTTTCAAATGAGCAGCTAAAATTGAAAAGGAAAACACTAATTGAGAGGCAAGACTGCTTTTTGTACTTGACTTGCAAGCGTATCCTCTGTTTATTCTGGCATATTCCTGGTCAAAGTCAGCTTCCACATACAGTTTTAAACATTGTCAAAAGAATTAGTAAATTGTTTGAAACCTGTTTTGAGTTCAAAGAGTGTACTTTCTGAAGTCTTTGAGAATTAGAAAACTAAGAAGATGCCACGTGCTCAATTTCACTTGCAATAATCACTATTTCTAAACCAAAGGATGGCCAGGGACATTTTTGCTCTATCACCTCACCCATTATCTTATTGAAGCACAAGGGAAGGTGGAAGTGATGTTGAACAAAAGTGAATGAAACCATAAACCAGGGCAGCTCAAGATGGAGTATAATGGTCAAACTGCTCTGGTACAGCTTTCAGCTGGGAATAAAATGTCTGCAGGCAAGGGTATAGAGTGATTGCTTCCAAGGTAGCCCCAAAGCAGTGAGTGACCATTGAAATGTGATTCAACAGAGGAAAGAACACTCCAGACTTCAGTTTAGAATACAAGGAAATAAAGCACGATGGAAAATAAAGTTGATTCCTAATATTTTTTTCCTGAATAGAACCAGCTTGAAGCTGTAAGAAAAAATATTCCAGTTTGTTTGCTTAAAAACATACAAACATGTACACAGCCAAATATCTATCCCTACATCCCATGGATAGCCAATATTATGAGTTTGTTGCTTATCTCTCAAGGCTTTTCAACACACATATATATATATGCATTCAGATGCTTTAATGCATGCTCATTGTATACATATGGGGTTTTATGATACATATTAATGCATACTCTTTCATTCAACCTGTACATGGCCATCTTTTCATATTTATTCCCGTAATGCCACTTCAACTCTTTCAAAGCTATATTACATTTAATTGTATGGAAGGATCATTATTTAGTTACTCAATTACCCATTGCTGCCCACTTAAAGAATTTCTAATTCTTTGCACTTAAATTATATGCACTTGTCTTATTTTCTCTGGATAATTTCCTGGCTGTAGAATTGCTCTGATTTTTAAAAAATGCACATATTAAGTTTTCCTAATATGAAACTAGTACATTCCAATGTTTTGAAGGCTAAGACTAGATGCAGATTGCCTAGTTTCAAAATCTGCCTCTGTTGTTTGCAAAGTGAGCAAGTTATTTAGCAAGCTAGAGTCACAATTTCTTCTTTGGTAAAATAGAGATAATAACATTGTTCACATAATGTTGTATGAGACCTTAAGGAAAAATAAGCATACGTAATACATTGAGCAAAGCATATAATCACAGCAAGACCTCAATACATGTTAACATTTAAAGTTCTATTATAGCTTTTTCTATTATAGCTTTTGCTAGATGGTTCTCTAGAAGATTTGCACAAACTTATACACTTTTGTCAATTTTTGGCTTTGGCACACTTTTAAACCTTTGACCCATCTGAAGGGTAAAAATTAATACCATAATACTATTTTCATTTGAGTTTATTAGTGAAGCTGAACATTTCTTATTATGTTTTTTAAACTACTCATAATTAATAATTGAGTTTATTCTTTTCTTGCCTCTATCACAAAGTTATTACATTCTATTTCAAGAATTGGCAAACTACACGCTATGGTCAAAATTGTGCCTGCTGCCTGTTTTTATAAATAAGGTTTTATTGAAACACAGCCCATGCACATTTATTTATATATTGCCTATGGCTGCTTTTATGCTACAACGGCAGAGTTGAATAGTTCCCACAGAGGCTGTAGAGCCCACAAAGCCTAAAATATATACTCTACAACACTTTGTCGGATAAATTTGTTGACCCTCCCATATAGTAATTATTCATGTACATAACGGCCTTCCTTTCTAGACTGTCCATTTGAATATAAATACAGTGCCAGTACACTGCATGCCTCTTACCTAGCACAGTCCTTGGCACCGAGTTGGTGTTTATAGAGCATTTTCATGTGACACTTCTCTTTCACTACAGACCATAACATTCAGAAAATTTCAGTGACCTAGAAACACCTGCAGATTTAATAGTTTCCACGGTGATTTTGTGAGTTTTCTTATCTCTTTTTTGCTGTAAAAGTTCTACTTATCCTTCAAGGCTAAAATCAAATAACACATTAGAGAATATTTAGCATTCTCTAAATATATACTTTCATAAACAAATGAACCAAAATACTTCCTTCACCATACGCTAAAAAACTTCAGGAAAACCAACATTACAGAATTATAACTTTATACTACAATTAAGAGATATGAGTCTGTTCTTCTCAAAAGAGTGTAACCTCTTCTAGATTACAAATTCTATTTTGCATTTCTTTATACACACCCATCATCCAGCAAAGGGTGGCCTTGAATTAAATATTCATTAAATGAATGAATGAAGAATGTAATCATTGTTAGTCCTAGCCTGGGTCATTTAACTTTTCTCTGCATTAATTTGACCACCAAACATAATATCTCCCCATCATCTCTCAAGGTTAAGAGCTTCGTCAGTCCACTCTGGAGTCAGGTGCTTAATTGACTGAACTGTCTGTGGATGACACAGGTTCATTCCCTCTCATTGCAGGCAACATATTGCTCTAAACACTACTGAGCGTTTCCTTGACTATATTTAGAATTCCTTTTTAACAAGGTGTCTGCTACTATAGAGAAAAACAATGAACTCAGTAATCCTACCATTCTTTGATTCTTTACATTGTTTAGAAAAGCAAAAGTAGGATGCAGTTAATAACCTGATCACAGCATTCCCTCAGCTCATTCACTTAACAAACATCTAATTAGGACCTGATCTGAAACAAGCAATGTGCTAAGTCTTGGAATACCCTCCTTCCTCCCGCCTGCCACAAAAGAAAAATTTGTCCTTCTGAAGTGGAGGAGCCAGACATGAAAACAGATTTATTTTTCCAAGTGATGTAATTAAGAGTGCTCTCTTCAGGGGGAAATAAAACAAATAAAAAAATACATAGCCAGGCATTACATGCCAATCTACTAACAAGTTGTTCTCTCTGGGGATATTCTTCTTATTAGTGGAATGAAATTCCAAAAGACAACTCCACTGAATGTATGAAAATTCCTATGAAAACTTAAACACATGAAAAATTCTGGGTTCAGGGTTGAAACAGATTAGTCATATTGAAGACTGGATGATTCTATCCAAACTCTTAAATACTTTATTTTGTTTTACAGATCATGAATGATTCCAGTTTTTAAAAAATCACCTAATAATTGTCCTAATGGAAATATACTTGCATTTTTAGAAAGTAGTGAGTATTATTTTTCTGGTGTTCCTCATCTTCTGGTTACATCTGTTTTTGTTGTTAAACCAAGATATATTCTCTTTTTGGTATTCCATAAATGATTCCCTTCTGAGTTGAGTGTTAACTATGACTTCCAGAGCACACAGATCTCTCACAGGAGCTCACACTAGGTAAAACATCCTTAGTAGGTTCATGAATGTCTGCAACTGCATAAAAAACACAGGCTATTCATCTGCTATTCCTGTTCATCAATGCCAGTGCTTATCACCTCGGTGAGGAAGTAACCTGTACACCAAAACCCCATGACATAAAATTTACCTGTATAATAAACCTGCACATGTACTCCCCAACCTAAAATAAAAGTTAAATAAAAATTATGCTTGGTACATCAACCTACTTTATGTTTCACTGCTTTTCTTCCTTAGTCTGGGAAAGAAGTAGAGAAATAAAGCCTTTAGATGCCAGAGACATGACCTTTCAAGCTAAAATAATTTTTATTGACAAATTATAATTGTATACATTTATGGGGTGCAACATGATATGTTAATATATGTATGCAATGTGAGAGACATGATATTGATAGATTTTTTCACTACCTAAACCTAAACATCATGGCTTTGTACTATTACAACTTCAGACACAACAAACAAATACTCAAAGAGCTTTAATCAGACATTTATCAAAGAAGATATGCAGATAGCAAATAAAGCCATAAAAAGTTGCTCAAGGTCAGGAGTGGTGGCTCGGCTCGTGTCTGTAATCCCAATACTTTGGGAGGCTGAGGCAGGAGGATTGTTTGATCCAGGAGTCCAAGACCAGCCTTGGCAATATAGTGAGGCCCTGTCTTTAGAAAAATAAAAATAAAAATTAGCTGGGCGTGGTGGCACATGCCTGTATTCTCAGGTACTTGGGAGGCTGAGGCAGGAGGCTAAAGCATGAGAATATTTTTTTTCTTTTTTTTGAGACAGAGTCTCACTTTGTTGCCCAGGCTGGAATGCAGTGACGCCATCTCGGCTCACTGTAACCTCCGCCTCCCAGGTCCAAACAATCCTGCCTCAGCCTCCCAAGTAGTTGGGACTACAGGTGCGTGCCACCATGCCTGGCTAACTTTTTGTATTTTTAGTAGAGACGGGGTTTCATCATGTTAGCAAGGATGATCTCGATCTCCTGATCTTCTGATCTGCCTGCCTCAGACTCCCAAAGTGCTGGGATTACAGGAGCAGGAGAAATTCTTGAGCCCTAGTGGTTGAGGCTGCAGTGAGCCATGATCACAACACTGTACTGTAGCCTGGGCAACAGAGCAAGGCCTTATCTAAATAAGTAAATTAAAAAATAAAAATAAAAGATGCTCAAGATTATTTGTCATTGGATAAATAAAAATTGAATAAAATACCCAACTTGATTTTGAGGGGTGGAGGGTGAGGTATGGAGTTAATCTTCAATAGCCAGAAAAATCTATGGCACAGTTCTAGAGAATTGTATGCAAAGGTGAAGACAGAAATTATCTTAATGGTTTTAGCTTACTTGTGAACTAAACACCATTGGTAAACTACCCGGGAAACAACTAGGGGACTCAGTCCCAGACTAGCTCTCTGGCCTGGAACTGGTATAGCACAGCATTTAGGAGCCCATCAAGTTGGTGTTTGGATTCTATTCACATCACATACAAGCAGATGATCTTGGCTGAGATTTCCTCATCTCTGAATTGGGAAAAATGGCATTTACCTGATAGGGTTGTTGTAGGAATAAATGAAAAATTCTATGTAAAATCCTGAGCCCAGTATCTGGCATACAATGATAATTACGTTAGCTATTGTTATTAACCAAGAAGTTACCGAATCATAGCACCAGCTAAATCTGCATCCCTCCTTGGCATGGCTGGCCCAGGTCCTGGGCCTATATCAAAGGAATACATGGCCAATTGTCTCAAGTGGTCAAGAAATCTACCATTATTGGACACAGCAGAACTACTTCAGATGAAATGTTTTCCTTGCTTGCTGGTGAGCAGAATTTATTTTTTCAGAAAAAAACAAAAAAGGATCATTTTTAAACTCAATCTTGACTATAATATGCTTTTAGTGCCTTAGTCTATAAAAATTAAAGTGAGATAATTGAAGGGTAGAGAAGGGAATTAAAATGAAGGGCTGAGGCCGGGTGCGGTGGCTCACGCCTGTAATCCCAGCACTTTGGGAGGCCGAGGCGGGCGGATCACGAGGTCAGGAGATCGAGACCATCCCGGCTAAAAAACGGTGAAACCCCGTCTCTACTAGAAATACAAAAAATTAGCCGGGCGCAGTGGCGGGCGCCTGTAGTCCCAGCTACTTGGGAGGCTGAGGCAGGAGAATGGCGTGAACAACCCGGGAGGCGGAGCTTGCAGTGAGCCGAGATCCCGCCACTGCACTCCAGCCTGGGCGACAGAGCGAGACTCCGTCTCCAAAAAAAAAAAAAAAAAAAAAAAGAAGGGCTGAACAGAAGTGATATTGCTTCAGTATAGCATTGGGAAAGGCAAAACTGGCTCCAATTTAAGTAATCTTTAGGTGGAGGGACCTACCTGCCTTCCTGGGCACAGATAGGATAGATGAAGAAGGGAGAACAGTGTAGTTTTGTTAGATTTGTCCTTACTCTGCATGGGGTTTCCTTAGAGGGAGCTAGAGCTCTATAACCTTGAGTGCTTGGTACATGAAGGTGCAAATACCGGAAGTGGAGGGAGTAGTCAGCAAACAGGAGTTAAGAGTAGTTGGAAAAGCATCTATTTAATTTAGCTAAAATAAGGTCATTTGAAAATTTCCATCGAAATCATAAAATTTGCTATTTCTCTGTGTCATCTTTTCAACTAAGAAGATACTCATTTGTAGGCTGCTTTTCAAAAAATGCTACCTGTAAATCATCCTAGAAAAAATACATTTATCTGCGTAGTTCTCAAAAGTCAGGAGTTGAATATTTCCTAATTGAAGATACAGCCCTTAAATGTATCATTCCCTTAGATAAAATCATATCTTCCCTTATGGCTTTCCCTCTAAGTGCCTTTCCCTTACTCTTGTGACCAAAATCAGACTTGTACTTCAGATCTTCCCCAAAATGACATTTTCTTACGACTCAACCAGGAAAAATTAATCACTGTTCTCTCTTCCATTCTATTCCATTTAGCTCAAAAAACTGCTAGTGTATTCTACATATCTGTCTACAAGTATGAATGCCTACTTAAACTTCAGCTCCAATAGCAAGTTTACAGCAGGTTCTTAGAAACAAGAAAGTGAAACATTCATTTCATTTATTAGAAAGTGAAACATTTTGTTTTGGACATGGTGCTCAACAGTATTCCAAAAAATAGAGACTTATCTTCAAATTTAATCTAAATATCTCCGATTTTTGCTTGGGCATGTGTCCTTATTTCCCTTTTTCTACTGAAAACATAATTTAAAGTAATATGATTTTGCCAGGCGCGGTGGCTCACGCCTGTAATCCCAGCACTTTGGGAGGCCAAGGTGGGCGGATCACGAGGTAAGGAGTTTGAGACCAGCCTGGCCAATATGGTAAAACCCCATCTCTACTAAAAATACAAAAATTAGCCAGGTGTGGTGATGCTTGCCTATATCCCAGCTACTTGGGAGGCTGAGACAGAAGAATTGCTTGAACCCAGGACGCAGAGGTTGCAGTGAGCCGAGATCATGCCACTGCACAACAGACTCCATCTCAAAATAAATAAATAAATAAATAAAATAAAATAAAATAAAATAAAATAAAATAAATAAAGTAACATGATTGTATTACTTTTTCCTTAGTAGGAAAGCAAAATATTGTTTTTCAAAAGAGACAGAGAAAACATACAGATGATGGGAGAAAAAATTGGAAATGTCTCCTAATTCAACCACTGAGGGATGAATAAAGTTCATATTTCAGTGGAGATCCTTCCAGAACTCCATTCCACCTGCTCCCTGCAACACACACACACACACAGACACACACACACACAGCAAATACAACTTCGCAGTTTTTTTTTCTGCAATCAGTAAGCATTATATATATACATTCAAACAAAATATTTCTTTGCAGTTTGGAGCTCTGAGAGAGGTCTGCTGATTTAATAAGTTTTTTGCTACCCATTAATGCCATAGGAGACCAGCTCTCCCATTAAGAAACAGTTGAGCTAGTTTCTCCTCAGCTTAGTTCACACTAACAAACAACATTGTCAGCTAAATACTAATGCAGAATCCTTATTAAGGTTGATTATATAAAAGGTAGATAAAGCACAGCAGGCATGCAGTTTTTAGGTGGCATGTGCAGCAGATAAGGTGATAGAGAAATATCTTCTTGCCTTATCATCTGACTCAAGGTGAAGTGGCCAGGACAGGCATCTATGTGGGGAAGGGAATAGAATACTTAGTGGCTACTTAGTGAGTACTCAGCACTAGAGTTCGTGTGCTGCAGTGTGGACATGTTTTCATACAATTTCAAAGCAAACTTGTGAGAGAACATTGATCTACATATTTCCTTTAAAACTGGGGAATCTCACTAAAGGAAATCAATCAATTTGTAAAGGTTTCATAGACATGAAGTGAAGAAACTGCACATTCAAACCCATGTCCCTCTGGCATGTACAGTATATATTCTGTCAACAACCATTACCCACAGTTGCCAGGAGAATGTCATACATAAGGCACTCACTAAAAAAGATGGCCAACACTATTAAAACAGAGAAAGAATTACATAGATAGATAAATACAATCCAAACATTAAGAGACTGAGTTATTCTAATAGCTAAAATTAATTTAATAAAATACTTAGAAAAGTTATTTGATGGTATTTTTATAATGTCTAATGTAAAAAGTTCAGCACAGAATACATGAATTATTTCCTTGAATTCTCATAGTGCATTTTTAGGAAGCAGCTAGTACTGCAGAGGAGATAACTTCCATTCACCCAGACACATCCACTACCCACCCTTCTCTGTTTTTATCTGTGAACTTCATGGACCACGAACTCCCTTGTTCTCTGTTCACTGTCCACGTAGTTCTCTTTCACATGAGGTTATATAACCATTATATTCACTCCAGCTCCATATGTAGTTAAAGAATGCTGATGTTACTAGCTCCCAGGGACGGCACCAGCCTTTATGGATTCCTTGTATCCTGCCTACACCTGAGTGACTGATATTGCATTGTTATCCTCATTTACAGAGAAAGAACTGATGCTCACAGAAGTAAGCTGACTTCTCCAGAGTCATAGAAGTAGCAAATGTCAAAACTCAGAATTAAACCCAGGCTTATATAAAATCACAGCCCACACCAATCTGCTTTCTTGTGCTTATTCTGCTTCAAGGTTACAAAATCTGAAATTCAACTCCTGTTTTCTCTGAAGTCCCTGATAGCCTGATGGCCTACAGTGCAATGAAAGAGATTCAACTATTGAATCAGTGGGAGGCATTAGTAACATCTTCAGCCACTGCAGGAGAAAGTGCAGTTTTATGAACCCAGGCCTAGTTAGCACAGAAAAAAAGCTATAAAAGTCATTTATAAAATGTACATATGGTAATTCACCTCCAAAATTCACCCATTTATGTCCCTAAATATCTTCAAATATGAGAAAGAATATTTCAAGAAAGTTCCATAATTTAACCTTCTAATACTAATCTAATGAACGCCTAGAGTGCCATCATGATTCATAAATAGCTAATACTGTACAGAATTAGAGAAGTGACCAAAGTCCAAGGATAACTTTTTTTGAATGGACAGTCTTTGGAGGTCACTTTGTCTGTAGAAGGTTGGTCTCCTTTCTGGGGAAATGGGAAATTCCTGATCTCAACAAGCTCATACCACTAGCCAACTAATAAAAATAGGTAATAAAGTAAGATTCATCTTATAGTCTTATATGTAGAATTCCTTCCTTACCTTGAAGAATAAGGTTTGCCATGAGCTTCTCATGTCTATATGTTTGCCTTAGTCTCCTACCACCAACTCCATCTCATACTCTTACGTGAATCACGTCACTTGTAGCTTCCTAAGCCCTTAATTCTTAGCAAGTCTGCATCTTTCTCATGCTGCTCCAACAGCCTGGGATTCTCTTCGCCTCCAAGCTGCCTTATGAAGTCTCTACTCCCTTAAAGAATCTGATTAAAACTGTCATTTCCATGAAAAAAATTATTAAATTACACCAAACTTTGTGCTGCCATAGCCTCAGTTACTAGATATTGAGTACATGCATCAATCAACTGAGTTGAATACTTTTTGAAGGGAATGATGGTATTTGTTGTTGTTTTTTCTCATCTTTGCATCCCTAGAACACAGTACATGACTCACACTGTTTACTCAATAAATATGTACTGAATAAGTTTATGAATGATTCATTGAAAGCCCAAATCAGAGAACAAGGAGAGTCCCTCAATTAATTAAAAAAGAAACTACGAGTAACCTCAAATATTAAGTACAATGTTGAATATATGAGGGTTTTGGAATAAATATAGAATACATTTCTAGGAGGCAAAGATGTTAAGATTGTTCTGGACTAGGAAGAACTTTGTGTTTAACTAGCTCACCATCATCACCAAATTAATTTGCTAAAAACGGTATCTTGTGGCACTATTTTTCTTATGAATATCCTGCCTAGCACAATAGCCCCCTTAAACCTGCACTGTTAGAAATTTATTTATTTATTTACCCTTTGTAGTAGATTAAATTATGGCTACTAGAATACTAGGTTCTAATCCTTGGAACTTGTAAATATTACCTCATTTGGAAAAAGGGTCTTCACAGATGTGAGTAAGGGTCTTGAAATGAGATGAGCCATGTGGGCTCTAAATAGCATGACAAGTGTCTTTATAAAAGGAGGGTAAAGGGATATTTGACCTACAGAAGAGAAGATGGCAGAGACCACAGAGGCAGAGATTAGGGGGATGTGGCCACAAGTCAAGCAACGTAGACAGTTACCAGAAGATGCACGCTGTAAGGAATATATTGTCACCTAGAGCTTGAAACGGTGTAGCCCTGTCAATACTTTCATTTTGGACTTCTGGCCTCCAGAACTATAAGAGAATAAATTTCTGTTGTTTCAAGAAACCAAGTTTGTGGTAATTTTGCTAAAGCAACCACTGGAAACTAGCACATTCATAAAGCTAAACCTTACTTTGCCTCCAAAAGAGATTCATCATTCTACAGTACTTATTGGATACTACTCACTGTTCTATATGCTGAAGATGAAAGAGAAAAACTTTTCTGTAAAGATTTCTTATCCTGTCTTTCTTTACCTGGTCCTCATATAATTGCTTACATCTTCATCTGTACCACCTCTGTTTCTTCATAATTTCATTATGGCCTTTATCATTATATAATAATTGGTATTTAGTTCTATCATTGCTTACGGAAAAGACCAAATTTTAAAAATTTATTTCTCTTTTCCTAAGACATTGCACAGTATCCAGTTATGAGTATGTACTCAGAAAATATTTGGTGAATTAAATTAAATTGAATTATAAAGATTCAATAAAGTTTTTCAAAGATTTTGCATGTCATTCAAATAAGGCGAATAAAATGCATACTTTCTTCTTTTTCAAAAATGGCAATGTTAATGACATTCTGGTAAACATTTAGACATTAAAAACTGTATGCATTACAGAACTAATTGATATCATTGGCAAGAAAGAAGACAGCCATTATCATCCTAAGATGTGTTGAGTCACACAATTGCACGACATACTTTAAATTATTCATTGGGACTCGTTTTCTTGTGAAAGGAACATTCCACAGCTCCAGAAAACAACAGAGGGTAAAATGTGAGACATGAGGGATTTTCTAAAAAGTTTAAATTTGAAGATAACTCACTAGAGTGGTACGATTATTTTGTGGTTGCGCTACTGAGTACTTCAGACTGGGATCAGAGCAGGTGAGATATGTGGATTTGCAGCTTAGGAAAGGGATGATGACGTGGGGGTAAGAAGAGGTGGCAACAATTATTTAACTGGTTTGTATTAGAAATTATATTAGAAAGTCCAAATGGTAATTTCCAATGCGTTGACTCAGGTGCAAATAAGTCAGCTTTGTCTGTCTCTGAGCTTTACCTCTGGAGCAGCACAAGTCCTGGAGATTTAGTTTCTACTCCATTGCCACTCACAGTTTGGGTGCATGTTTTGCTTAATTCCAACATCCTTATGGGACATCCTTTAATGTATTCTTCAGGAGCAGTCATAGCCCCAGAATTTCTATTTTTTGTGAACCTAGGAGTTGCAAGCTTGCTGGAAACAAGGAGACTTCACTTGAAGTTCCCTTAGCAAGAACATATTTTACACAGATTGTATGGTTATTGGAATCCATTTGTCTTGAAAGTTCATTGCACAGTAAGCACATTGTTTTTAACCAAGTTCAGTGAAGTGGCTGTTGAAGGAGGCTGATGAAGATTTAAAGGTCTGCCTGAATCAATGATACGAAACGTTTAACTTCTTCCTTTACCCTATGTCCCTTCCCAAAGCAGTTCTTTGCTCTCCCTCTTCCAATGATGGACTCATCCGTTGAGAGATTTTGGATTAGAGTAACATGGGGCATAGCCAGTTCTTGTCTGGCTAAAGTAGGCCACTATAGAACTGCTCTCTCCCCTTTCCCTACTCTCCTATTCTTAAGTTAGGTTGTGCGTATAGATACTTTTGGTTTTGCAAAAACTCACAGGACGTTTCAAGATGGAATACCCAATGTAACTAATCTTCTGAATAATTAATCTCTCTCTCTTTTCCGCTTTGCTTCTCGATCCCCCTAAATTCAGACAATAATTTAAACATTTTATAGCTTTCAAAATCAAAACCTGATGCTTTTCACCCATAAATGCTTCCTCTTTGTACATATCCATTTCAGGAATAAGGCACCATAAATCTGGAATTAAACAAAGCCATCTTCCACGTGATGACTCAAAGACTGAGAAAAGCAAGGTTCTGAGTCAGAGGAAGGATTTTAGCATTTTGTGAACAGATTTTTCTGTTTTGTTATTCAGCTTTGTGTAGGATTTAATGATCTGAATCGATTCTTTGTAAAACCCACGGACCCATCTACGCAAAGCAAAAATAAACAGACTTGTTAGAAAAGATCACAGCAATTGAAGGAACAGGAGCACACAAGTGTCTGCCCCAGTGTTGCTGTGATTGCAGGATAGAAGGGCTCTTGATATTATTACACTGAAAGACAACACAGTTACCCAAGGCAAACCCACGATATTGACCACCGGTGGCCCATACTATCACTGTAACTGTAATCTATTACTATTTTCTCTAATACTATTAGATATTGAATAAATATCTTACTTATAGAAAGCAAACAAAAATGTCTTGCTCCCTTTAATATCTTACAATGTGACTGCAGAATTAGTATCTTTGTCACATTTGAATTGTCTTTTTCTACAAATAGGTTAAAATCATTCCCACTTAACATTAACAATTTCCCACTTAACAATTTCTGATTGTTCTCTATGATTGGCAAGTCATTTTGCAAACACCGTGTGCTAGGCAGTATTGTAGGCACTGAAGATATATCAATGAACAAAACAGAAAAAGTGCCCTAGAGCTTATATTACAATGAACATGGCAAACAAGTAAATTATATTGTGTATTAGAAGCTGGTAAGAATCATTAAAAAAAGAAAAGTATAGCAAGAAAAGCGGAGGGGCATTAGGGCAGCAAGTTGCAGTATTAAATATGATAACTGAGGTGAGCCTTACTGGGGAGGTGAGATTTGAGTGAAGGCTTTGAAGAGGTGAGGAAATTAGCCAGGCAGATATCTGGCAGTGCTATGGTTTGGATGTTTTTGTCCCCTTTAAAACTCATGCTGAAACTACCAGGAATACAACAGTGTTGAGAGGTGGGGCTTAAATGGGAGGTGTTTAGGTGTTGAGGGCTCTACTTCATGAATGGATTAATGCTGCTATAAAAGGGATTGGAGAAGTGTTTGCTGTCTTCTGCTCTTCTGCCATGTGAAGAACAGCATTCCTCCCCTCTGGAACTCCCATCTTGAAAGAGGAGAGACAGGATCCTCACAAGAACCAAACCTGCCAGCGCCTTGATCTTGGGCTTCCCAGCTTCCAGAACTGACAGAAGTAAATTTCTGTTCTTTATAAATTACCTAGTCTCAGGCATTCTACCAGCCCAAAATGAATTAAGATGAGGGTAAATGTTCCAGACAGGGGAAGATAAGAAACAAAGGTTTTTATAAGGCAGGATGCATGATAGGTTCATGGATCAGCCAGGAGGTCAGTTTCATTGAACTAGAGGAAGGAGAGGGATGTAGCATGCACAAATTTCCTAAGAGAAATAAGAAAGACCACATCACAAAGGTTGTGCGAGTTCTCTAAGGCTTTTGTAAAAGTCCATAGGACCATATATGGAAAAAAAAGAACCATTTAAAATTCACTCAACACAAATATTTATTCCTAAGTATCTATATCTAATTATGCAATATTTCCTCAGCAGGATATACTGTCTTAAATCCACTATTGGCAGAAGTAACCAAAATTATGTTTGGGCTGCTATAATCTTGCATGAAAGTCCACATACCTTGCAAAAATTTCTGTTTATCACATCAGTAATTACAGGGCAGGTGAAATAATCATCTCAACAGAAAACAAAATAAGCACACAGCTTTATTCCCTTCTGAATTGGGCTTTGATATGATTTTGTATTAGATATCATTTTTATTTAAGCTTTACGTTTTTAATTTTTAAATTTTGTGGGTATATAGTAGGTGTGTTTATTTACAGGGTTAATGAGATGCTTTCATACAGGCATACGATGCAAAATAACCTTAACATGGAAAATGAGGTATCCATCCCCCAAGCGTTTATCCATTGTGTTACAAACAATCCAATTATACTCTTTATTTTTAAATGTATAATTAAATTATTATTGATTATATTCACTCTGTTGTGCTACCAAATACTAGCTCTTATTCATTCATTTATTTTTGATTTTTATTTATTTTTGCCTGTTGACCATCCCCAATTCTCCTCCTCCTAATCCCTCAGCCACCCTTCCCAGCCTCTGGTGCTGTTCTCACGAGTTAACACTTTTATTCCCACAATAAGCCTAAGAGGAAGATACTATTGTTTTCTTCCATTTTATAGTTGAGAAAAATGAGACATTAAAAACAATTATCAATTTGCTAAAGTTGACACAGGGAGTAAGCAGCAGATCCTGAATTATATCCCTGTCAGCATGATTCCTGAGCACATGTCCCCTAGTTACAGGTTACACCACATCATTTTGAAAACTGGAAGGTTTTTCAAAGATTTTTGAGGTATTTCTGAAAAGTAATCATTAGATTGGTTCCAAAAAGAGAAAACCACAATTTAGCTCAAGACAAATAAAAGGGAGGTAGAAGGATCCCATATTCACTATGATTAGAGTTAATAGTCACAGGTAAAGAGGACCCAAAGGAATTCACGGGTTACATAATCAGGCAAGTGCTATTAACTCAGCCAAACCACTCAGCCACCGCTCCTTCTTCTTTTAGGAAGAAAAGGCAACATACCTTTTTTCCAGGACAAAGCAGTGAGCCTGGGAGGAGAAGGATATGGCGATGGACCACAAAGTTCACCCCAAACAAAAACTATCACTCATGCCTTTCTCCTACATTTATGCTTTCATACACTCTCAAAGGCAAATCAGTTCATCAGAGAGCAGATATTACCTAAATTAAACATAAATAGACAATCTACAATTATCAAATGTTTGAAAACAACAGCACCATGAAACTATCAAGCTCAATAGATAGGAAAAAATATAATACACAAGACCACAGAATTATAGCACAAACAAAAGATTTTAAAAGAGCTAAAATTAAGTTTTCAGATATTCAAGAGGCTGATCTTATCCCATAAGACAGGAACTGGACTTTGTAGAAATAAGACAAAAGGAAATATTGGAAATGAAACACATAATTCCTGCAAGTTAAAACTCAATAGGCCAGGCATGGTAGCTCATGCCTGTAATCCCAGTACTTTCGGAGGCTGAGGCAGAAATGTTGCTTGAGGTCAGGAGTTCAAGACTAGCCAGGGCAACATAGGGAGACCTGCATTTCTACAAAAATAATTTAGAAAAACTAGCCAGGCATGGTAGCATGCACTTTTAGTCCTAGCTATTTGTGAGGCTAAATGTAGGAAGATTGCATGAGCTTAGGAACTTGAGATTACATTGAGCTGTGATCATGCCACTGTACTCCAGCCTGGGCAACAGAGAAAGACCCTGTCTCTAAAAAAAATAAATACATAAAAATAAAACATTAAAATTAAAGAAAACTCAATAGCTAGGCTGGATGACAAGATGGACAATGTTGATGAGCAAATTAGGAAGCTGAAGGAGGAAGCAACATTATTGTTTCAGAGTGCTAAAGGGCAGAGAAAAAGGTATAGAGATGAAGAATTGACCCAGAAGACACACTGTCTGAGAGGAGTATGAGAATTAGCTAAAAGAAACAATGAGCAGACAGATTTTTTAAAATACCATAAACAATAATAATAACAACATTTAATATTGTGAAAGCCAATATTCACTGAACAACTACTTTATTGTGATCATTCATATTCTAAGCACTTTGCAGCTATGGCCTAATTTACTACTCGACTCTCATGTGAGGAATATTCAAGTATTATACTATTTTACATATGAGAAAACTGATGTATTTGACCCTGGAAAAGAAAATATCCAACATAAAGAGAGATACACTTTTTATACTGGAAAGGTCAATCAAATTTATCAAAAGAGAAGTGAAAACAATGCCGCACCTAGTCATGGTTAATCAAAACATGGAATGAGTATTATACCCAATACTGCCTTGTAAGTGCATTTGATTTTAGTGGAATATTATAGAGTCATTAAAAAGAATGATGTGCTTTGATGGGGGATAAATTCTAGTCAGGCATTAACAAAAAAAGAAAACTCCAGAAAATAGAGACCAAATATGCTTTATAACAAAAGGGCACACACACATACACACACATGAATGGAAATTAAAAGTATTAGAAAACTATCATTACAAAGTGGTTACATCCAGGTAGAGAAGAAAAATAAAGGTTGAGGGGGAAAGTGAAAAGAGATATTTAAATTTCATTCTATGTGCTTCTGCCATAAGAGTTGATAACAATAACATATTCATCAACATACAAGTTAAAATATAGAACATATGGCTGGACACAATGATGGGTGCCATTGTCCCAGCTACCAGGGAGACTGAGATAAGAAAATGACTTCATGCCAGGAGATCAAGGCTGTATTGCACCATGATCATACCTGTGAATAGCCATTGCAGTCCAGCCTAGGCAACGTAGCAAGACCCTCTTTCTAAAAAAAAAAAAAAAATACATAAAATATAGAACACATGGAAGTAAGATTATTGTGTACATTTTACCACTAGAAATTTTTATCAAGTTTGTCAAAATTCTCAGCAATTTGAATTTGAAAATTTTGTCCTGAACATGAGTTGCTGATCTTAAGGACAATGGCCATGCATACAAACAGGGATACATGAATTTATCTTGAATTAGTCTTAAAAAGCTTGGAAATATATGAATTGGCATGCATGTCTTTATTCATTTATTTAAGTAACATTCTTGAGTATGGTGCAGGTGGCTGGCTATATAAAAATAAATTTAAAAATAGTGATAATATTTGTCCTTTCAGAATTCATTGTCTAGCAAAGGATACAGACACTCAAATGACTATTGTACAATTTGCTTAGTGCTAAGGAAGTTTGTACATATTGCTATGAAAACCCAGAGAAGGAAATTCTCATAGTAGTGAGATATTAAGTTCCTGAAGCAAAGCAAGGAACATTATATTTATGAAGAAAAGTTTTGTTTTCTTTTTCAGAAAGAATCAACACAATCCACTAATTGAGATAAAAGAATTACAAGCATATTTATTTTGGCTTTTGAGGAATGGGAACAATTGACGATTTACTTTAGACATGATGTTCTTATGTGCTGTAGGTCATCTAAACAGAGCAGCAGTTCTGTAGAAGACTAATAAACCATGTGTTTCCTATTTCTGTATTAAAGACTCAAGAAAAACAAATGCCCATGATAACTACAATCAAGAAATAGTTTATTCCATGTAACGTAGTGTGCTTTTAAAGATGAGACTCCTTAAAAAGACATTCCATAGTCAGTATAGAAATGTTATGTCCCATATGTCCTGCTTACATATATACAATGAAGATTAACATAGCCAAGAACATGAGAAATCCTATGTCAAAGAAATTTGCCTAAATGGTTTAATCACAGAGTCCCTCCTGCTTATTTCTGTTTTCCTGAGTAATGCTACATCCTGTAGAGAGCTTTGAAAACAATGTCATAACATTCATCTTTACACATATGCTATGTAATATTCTCTTAAGTGCATACTATTAAATCCAGATACTTACCAGGACCTTTGTCTGGTCTTGGGGGCACACTGATATTAAGTACCTTTTCCATCTTCACAAGATTCCTACAGGCATCTTTATGAAACTCAGAGATGTCAGATAACCTTTAATTAGAGTGCATGTCATGGACACTTAGGGTCACCTATGAAAAACTCTAACAGTTACTGTTTACTGAAATCCTGAGTCAAAAACTGATTTTTGCATTGCATTGCTGGCTCTGCCAAAAACTCTTGTTTTATGTTGAGTCTAATACAGTTCATCTTATGTGCATGTGAAATAAAAAAATAATTGGTATCCTTTTATTTTCATCGGGATGTGATTCTACATGATCAACTGACCATTTAAATTACAGTATAAAGTTGTCTAACTCACTCAACCCAACAGGACTACCTGAGTTCTAGAGAGGTAATGAGTAACAACACCTCTAGGTGGTTTCACCAATGGGACATTAATACAGAAAAAATATATGTAAGTAAACCACAACTGTGATTTATTGTGGAAGGGAATGCTTTTTACCCACTCTTAATATTTATTTCTATAGGATTGGAATTAATTCAGGCTATAGTCTTGGCTTATCTGGCGCCATTTATCCACTCTGCACCTCATGAGGTAAGAGATTTTTCTGATTGCTAAATTTGGAAGAAATACAATATTTCTTCTTTTGCCCAGGTAGCACATGTCCCCTTCTGCAGCTCTGTGCTGTAACTCTTCCACATCCAGCATCGCCTTTGATTGGACAATAAGTCTATCAAACGCAGGGTCCACAGCATGACTATCTGACCCTCGGACTAAGCTATGTCACCCATCTTGCCTTTATCACCAATAAAGGCAATACATTAGCCTCCCTAATACCTTAATATTTTCTCTTACTTCTGCCTTATTTCCGATGAGTTCAGAACCTTGGCAGAGAAGAGGGGTATTATTTACTGAACTTGCTCAGTGATACCCATAATTTCAGAACAGCCACGCATCATTTAATGACACTGATACATTCTGAGAAACTCATTGCTAGGCGATTTCTTCACTGTGCAAAAATCATAGGGTGTATTTACACAAACCTAGATGCTATATCCTACTATACGCCTAGGCTATATGGTATAGCCTATTGCTCCTTAGGCTACAAACCTGTACGGTATGTTATTGTATCATATTGTAGGCAAGTAACACAATGGCAATTATTTGTGTACCTAAAAATATGTAATCATAAAAGGTACAGTAAAAACATAGTATAAAAGATAAAAAATAGTACAACTGTATCAGGCACTTTCCATGAATGGAGCTTGCAGGACTGAAAGTTGCTTTGGGAGAGCCAGTGAATGAATAGTGGTGAATGTGAAGGCCTGGAACATTATTGTACACTACTGTAGACTTTATGAACACTGTGCACTTAAGCTACACAATATTAATTGAAAAACATCATTTCTTCAAAAACAATTAACCTTAGTGATATGGTTTGGCACTGTTTCCCCACCCAAATCTCATCTGGAATTGTACTTTCATAATCCCACATATTGTGGGATAAACCAGATGGGAGATAATTTGAATTATGGGGTCAGTTTCTCCCATACTGTTCTTGTGGTAGTGAATAAGTCTCACAAGATCTGATGGTTTTATCAGAAGTATCTGCTTTTGCATCTTCCTCATTTTCTCTTGCCGCCACCATGTAAGAAGTGCCTTTCACCTCCCTCCATGATTCTGATGTCTCCCCAGCCTCAGAATTTAATTAAACTTCTAAGCCCAATTAAACCTCTTTTTCTTCCCAGTCTCAGGTATGTCTTTATTAGCAACATGAAAATGGAGTAATAAACTTAGTTTACTGTAACTGTTTTTTTTTTTTTTTTTCAAACAGGGTCTTGCTCTGTCACCCAGGCTGGAGTGCAGTGGCGCAATCTCTGCTCACTGCAGCCACTTCCTCCCGGGTTCAAATGATTCCCCTGCCTCAGCTTCCTGAGTAGCTGGAATTACAGGTGTCTGCCATCACACCCAACTAATTTTTGTATTTATAGTAGAGATAGGGTTTCCCCATGTTGGCCAGGCTGGTATCAAACTCCTGACCTCAAATGATCTGCTTACCTCGGCCTCCTAAAGTGCTGCGATTACAGGCATGAGCCACCACACCTGGCAAGTTTACTGTAACATTTTTACTTTAAAAACTGTTTTTTTTTTGTTTGAAACAGAGTCTCTCTCTGTTGCCCAGGCTGGAGTGCAATAGCCTGTTCTTGGCTCACTGCAACCTCCACCTCCTGGGTTCAAGCAATTCTCCTGCCTCAGCTTTCTGAGTAGCTGGGATTACAGGTGCCCACAAACACTCCAAGCAAATTTTTATATTTTTAGTAGAGACGAGGTTTCACCATGTTGGCCAGGCTGGTCTCGAACTCCTGACCTCAGGTGATCCACCTGCTTCAGCCTCCCAAAGTGCTGAGATTACAGGCATGAGATGCTGCACCTGGCCACTACTTCAAAAACTTTTTTATTTGTATTTGTAATTGTTGTGGATATATAATAGTTGTACATATTTATGGGGTACAGCTGATATTTTGATACAAGCCTATAGTGTGTAATGATTAAATCAAAATGATTGAGATATCAATCACCTCAAACATTTATCAATTATTTAACTCTATGACTCTTTTCTAATAACATTTATTTTAAAATAAACCCACAGTTTCACTGTACAAAGAATATTTTATTTAAATCCTTATTACATACTTCTTTTTCTTTTACCTTTTTTATTTTTTTTTTTTTTACTTTAAAATTTTTTCTTAACTAAGACACTACACATACAATATTAGCCTAGGTTGACAGAGGGTCAGGGTCATAAATATCACAGTCTTCCACTTCCACATCTTGTTCCAGTAGAAAGTCTTTAGGAACAATAACAAGCATGAAGCCATTGTCTCTATGATAACAATGTCTTCTCTTCAGTACCTCCTGAGGAACCTGCCTGAGGCTGTTTTATAGTTACCTTTTTTTTACATAAGTAAAAGGAGAACACTCTAAAATAATAATAAAAAGAATAGAATAGTAAACATATAAACCAATAACATAGTAATTTACTATCATTTTCAAGTACTATATACTGTACATAACTCTATGTGCTGCACTTCTATATGACTGGCAGTGCAGTAGGATTCTTGACCACAAACACCCAAGTCATGTATTACACTATGATATTAGGACAGCTATGAGGTCACTGGGCAATAGGAATTTTTCAACTCCATTATAATTGTTGGGAAAAGCTGAGTGTTGGGAGAAGCTGAGGCAGGGCTTGCATGTCTGACATAATGTAAAAGAGTCTTGGAACATGTCTGGGGTCCAGGGTCTAAAACCCCTTGTGGCCTTTGGAACACCAAGATCTGTGCTAAAGGGTAGAAGACTACTCTGAAACACCATAATCTAAGCCCAGGTCATAAAATCCCTCGTGGCTTGGATAGAATCCAGGGCTCGTGGCTCTGGAATGTGTCTAGACTTGCTGTCTCCTTGTTCCTTGCTCTCCCAGGATCGATTGTATCTTGGGTTAAAAGAACCTGCTCTCCATTATCTCAAGTAGCAGCGCAAATGCTAAACCATCACAGCTGTAAATCATGTGCTTAGTGCAACGTGACGTTTTGACCTCCACATTCTCACCACCTGTTTCTTTATTGGATCACCAATAAATAGCGCGGGTTCCCAGAGCCTGGGACCTTCGCAGCCTCCACAATCGCGATGGCCCCCTGGTCCCACCTTTCTCTCTCAAACTGTCTTTTTCTCAATCCTTTGACTCTGCCAGACTTTGTTGCCCCCAGGACCTGGTGTTGAGTCTGATCACCCCAGCAATAAGGGTATGGGATCACCATCATATATGAGATCCATTGTTGACCGAAATGTCATTATGTGCTTTATGATGGTCATGATTCAGGGATGTTGCTCTGTGAAGAATTTCACAGAGTTTTCTCTCAGAAAACTCAAATGTTTGGGTAGATATGAGAACTGACTTTTCCTTTTTGCCAAGTAACACCCTCAGTATATTACACACACCATCTTATTTAATCCTCATAAACTATAGATGAGGTAAAAATTACTAATCTTACCACTTCAAGACAACCTGAGGCTCAAAAAGTTTCAATAATCTATACAATGTCAGGTAGCTTCTAAATTCCTCGCTCTACTATGCAGGTAAGTTTATCATATAAAATTTCTACAGAAGCTAAATTATGCACCATCTCTCCCCATAATGTTTAACCCAGCACAATTCAGCTCAAACCTGTAGGAGAATGAATATCTTCTAGTTTGTAAAAACTTAAAAAGGGGCCGGGCATAGTGGCTCAGACCTGTAATCCCAGCACTTTGGGAGGCCGAGGTGGGTGGACCACCTGAGGCCAGGAGTTCGAGACCAGAATGGCCAACATGGTGAAACCCCATCTCTACTAAAAATACAAAAAAATAGCTGGGCATGGTGGTGGGTGCCTGTAATCCCAGCTACTCAGGAGGCTGCAGCAGGAGAATCAATTGAACCCAGGAGGCGGAGGTTGCAGTGAGTCGAAATCGTGCCATTGCACTCCAGCCTCGGCAACAAGAGCGAAATTCTGTCAAAAAAAAAAAAAAAGTCCCCAAATCTCTTGGTGTGTGTCCAGTTCTAGCTTTCTCACCTTGGAAAAATGCTATATGGGTTTTAAATCTGTATTTATGTCAAAAAAAAAAGCATAATGATAGTCTTTACTAAATAAAACAAGGTGCTCCATATTAAATTGCATATTAAGTTTTCAGCACAGAGCCTAGCACATAGAAAATATTTAATATATCTGTTTGGTCTTCAATGCCTGATAGCACAACCACACATATTTAACTGTATTTTCTCTAGTCCCTGGAGCAATTTGCATTGCTGTTCTTCAGTACAAGCAAATGCCTGGCAGAAATACTTTATTTTTCATATAATTGTTACTGCTTACTCTAACATACATTCCGTGACCACAGAACGACATATAGTCAGACCTTAACACTTTATGCTTTAAGATCCAGCCCAAGGCATGTGGAATTATAATTAGTGGAAGGATGTGCCTAAATAAAATAAAGATCGGGTTTTTATTTTGACAAATTCACTAACTCAAAACTGTATATAGTTTGTGCCCTCTGTTAGAAATGTTCTCTTTCCTGAGCTCTACCCTCTTTCTCCTGGTTAACTTCTCAGAATGAAAATCCTGAGGGCAGATATGACACACATGACTATAGTCTTGTGGGGCTAAAGAATTACTCAAAAGACAAGGATTTATATTTGCCACTGTTTCCCCAGGAACAAACACAGCTCTGGAGAAGCAATCAATATTTGTTAAATTGAATTGATTGAATATGGTCCACTTCATGCCGGAGGAATGAGGGTAAACAAACACATGTATGATGCTTACCTTATGTGAGGCATTTTACAGACACCATGGCAATTCATCTCTAACAATGGCATGTGATGACTAGTACTAACACAACCCCTCTCCCCCATACAAACTGAAGCTTAGAAAGGCTAAATGCCATGCCTAAAGTTTATCTAGTGCTTATTGGCATTAAATACTGAATTCAGAGCTTTATGTGTTTTATTACAATGCCATGAATTCCATCACTACATAATGGATACAGCAAAACCAGTGACATACATTTTGCTCAGACAGATAGGTAGAAATATATAGATATATACAGATGATATAGATTTATTTTCTGGAAAAAAAATAGATACCAGAACATTTCAAAAATATTACTCCCAACACTTACTAGATCTTTCATGTAGCACAGTGTAGAAGGTTGCTGGTATGCTTGAGTTGAAAACAAAACACTTTCCCAGCACTACAACCTAACACAGAAGGTTAATACTTCTGCTAATTCCTCTGAGCAGGAGGTGGCTGCTGACAGTGCTTTCCCTCTTGGACAATGACCGTGATGATGCACCTGAACATCCCATTCTTTGGAGAGAGAACATAGACTGCCTCTGGCTCCAGCAGATCAGCACATTTTATTATCAAAAATTGTAGCAGGAAATGGAAAACATTTAGTCTACCACCTAATTCATACCACTCCTCCCTGAGGTGTGTTGACTCTAATCCTTGGTCCAGTTTGCCTGAAACAAATCAAACTGTGGGGAAACACTTCAGCACTTAATCAACTCCACAACTGGAAACACTTTTCTTGCACTCACATCTAATTAACAGTACTAATAAAACTAATGTGATTATACTGATACTTTGGCCCAAATACAGAAAAGTGTCACCAAATTAAGCAAAGCAGAAGCTTCCCAGTACCTGTCCATCTCTCATCTCAATGACTGCCAATAAAAAAATCATGAGCCTCACACTCCCCAGTCATGATGCTCTCCTGCAATGAATTTGCATAATGAATAGTAAAATTGAAATAAACACTAATTATGTACTGAATGGGATGTGGAGAGGTGATTCAAGTAATTTGACTAACTAATCAACAGGAGATTATTTCTCAGCTATGTCTGTACATACCAGAAATTGACTACCTGATAAAAATGCAAATCAAGTGGTCCAATGGTCAGGACAGTGGCCCAGACAGACATAGACATCAGGGCAGCATGGTTCTGTTATTGTTTGATAGTCTGTGAATAATATGTTTACATTTTAGCTGTATCTAGCATTCATTGACCACCTATGAGCCAGGCATATATATCCCACCTGCAGGGACAAAGCAGGTAACCCAACCTGGATGTTTCTGGTACTGATCATGAAAGGCAGACTGAAAGGGCATGTGGATACTGAATGACCACCAGGCCAGCTGCTCTCAGGACTCTGTATAATTTCACAAATTTAATCTTTACAAACCTATCTGTTAAAAAACTGATGAGCTAGCTAAAGCACAGAGTTTAATAAACTGGATAACAGCTTACAATTGATGAGGAGTGAACTACAGAATTGACCCAAGATGTCTCATCCAAAATCCAGGCTCTCCACCATTTAGTTAAATTACCTGTTTCCATCTTTAGGTGATTAAAGCTGAATGAACACAGGGGATACCTACTTGCAGTTTGTTGCAAGAGGACAGCTATCATCTAAGAATTGTTTTCAATCTCTAATCTGTACTTAATGATAACTAAAACTTGGGAAACCCTCATCAACCAAACAATTCATATAAGGTGAAGACAGGATAGGCCTTTGTAGCTGCCTGCCTTTTGATACAGAAATACATGAATCCAAATATCAAGTGTTTGGGAGATAAAGATGCTCAATTATACATCTAAGCTGTTTGGTTTCAGAATTAAAGTGATTAAATAAATACTAAGATTCATTTTCAATTGAGTACTTTTCACAGGGGTAGCTCATAGTAAAAGCATCATCAGAAGTACTCTTCAGCGGTTGCCTACACCAGGCAATCTGTTTCTGCCAAAATGCCAATGGTCATCACGGAAGTTCAATCACTTCTAACATCACTACAAGTCTCAGATTACTACTGAAGCAGATTTGAGACAGAAGTAACTGTCCTATGAAACAATGCCCCATGCCAGGAGATTTACATACATAATCGCCATTCTTCGCAAGGAGATTGTGAAATAGTATTATTAGTCTATTTTGCAAACAAGAAGATGAACTCTGAGATTTTAACTAACTTTCTCAGCATTACACGAAGTATTTTTTAAGAGCTACTATTCAAAAACCAGATTGTCTTTGAAGTTCTTAAACCTTCCTCAAAAGGGTTTCAAGGTCTGTTTACAAATATTCTCACTATTCCTAGATTAAGAGAATAAAACATTTTTCAAAACATTGCTTATGCCATTTCTTATTTATTCTTTTACATTTATTTTCAGCATTGAGGATAAGCAATTAAAAAGAAAGTCACAAATTAAAGTATAGCCTAGAAAACTGCTACTGAGTCTGCTTTTTCTTCAAAAAATATTTCATGATTATTAATCGAGTTAATTCACATGTAATTGTACACCAATCCACAGGAGCCCACTGGTATCCTGTAGTACTAGGAGCTTGTTGTATGCCCCAATCACTCTTCTAGATTTTATCACATCCACTTCCACATACTGATTCTATAACTATGCTGGATGGGAACACATCAATATAAGTAAGTACCAGGGGATTATATCATAGAGAATCCAAGCCAGACTCTCCAATTAGAATATGTGGTTGCAAAATATTTTATTTTCCATGATTCTATTTGGTCCATTATAGATAACACTGAAAAAATCTTTTGGCATGATCTTTTCAATTAGAAATACTTGCATTCAATACTGATCGCACTTTAAATTACAGCAATAAACAAGCAAGATGTGGCCTTCAAGGAGATCCCAGATAGCAACTGAAAAGTAGCAAGCTTTATTACGTTTGTTCTGTGATAAAAGCAAGTAAATGCTGCATACTTTCAATTCCCCCTTTCAATGGTATTGTAAGTTTAACACAGGAAAACCGTGCTTAGATATTTAATATGAAATAAATCACTGGATAAGATGAAAATGTTTTAAAAATTCCTTTACATGGCTAAAATGTTAGAAGACATTTTTGTTTTACTTAAATATGAGATGATTCTTTTTCATGAAAAATAAGCCCATTTACCTTAAAGGGGTATAATTGTTGAAACAATGTGATGAAGGATAAATATAATTTACATGGGTGATCTCAAGCACTCTCATAACTTCAAATTTTACACACATACTGAATCCTTCACTGATATCAAATCTCAGCTTTTTGGTTTATTTTCCAAAACTATCAAGATAGACTAGATATTTTTATACTGCCCAAGGTAATTTATAGATTCAATGCCATCCCCATCAAGCTACCAAAGACTTTCTTCACAGAATTGGAAAAAACTACTTTAAAGTTCATATGGAACCAAAAAAGAGCCCATATTGCCAAGTCAATCCTAAGCCAAAAGAACAAAGCTGGAGGCATCACGCTACCTGACTTCAAACTATACTACAAGACTACAGTAACCAAAATAGCATGGTACTGGTACCAAAACAGAGATATAGACCAATGGAACAGAACAGAGCCCTCAGAAATAATGCCACATATCTACAACTATTTGATCTTTGACAAGCCTGACAAAAACAAGAAATGGGGAAAGGATTCCTTATTTAATAAATGGTGTTGAGAAAACTGGCTAGCCATATGTAGAAAGCTGAAACTGGATCCCTTCCTTACACCTTATACAAAAATTATTTCAAGATGGATTAAAGACTTAAATGTTAGACCTAAAACCATAAAAATCCTAGAAGAAAACCTAGGCAATACCATTCAGGACATAGGCATGGGCAAGGACTTCACATCTAAAACACCAAAAGCAATGGCAACAAAAGCCAAAATTGACAAATGGGATCTAATTAAACTAAAGAGCTCTGCAAAGCAAAAGAAACAACCATCAGAGTGAACAGGCAACCTACAGAATGGGAGAAAATTTTTGCAACCTACTCATTGGACAAAGGGCTAATATCCACAATCTACAATGAACTCAAACACATTTACAAGAAAAAACAAACAACCCCATCAAAAAGTGGGTGAAGGATATGAACAGACACTTCTCAAAAGAAGACATTTATGCAGCCAAAAAACACATGAAAAAATGCTCATCATCACTGGCCATCAGAGAAATGCAAATCAAAACCACAATGAGATACCATCTCACACCAGTTAGAATGGTGATCATTAAAAAGTCAGGAAACAACAGGTGCTGGAGAGGATGTGGAGAAATAGGAACACTTTTACACTGTTGGTGGGACTGTAAACTAGTTCAACCATTGTGGAAGTCAGTGTGGCGATTCCTCAGGGATCTAGAACTAGAAACACCATTTGATCCAGCCATCCCATTACTGGGTATATACCCAAAGGATTGTAAATCATGCTGCTTTAAAGACACACACACACACGTATGTTTATTGTGGCACTATTCACAATAGCAAAGACTTGGAACCAACCCAAATATCCAACAATGATAGACTTAAGAAAATGTGGCACATATACACCATGGAATACTATGCAGCCATAAAAAGGATGAGTTCATGTCCTTTGTAGGGACATGGATGAAGCTGGAAACCATCATTCTCAGAAAGCTATCGGAAGGACAAAAAACCAAACACTGCATGTTCTCACTCATAGGTGGGAATTGAACAATAAGAACACATGGACACAGGAAGGGGAACATCACACACCGGGGACTGTTGTGGGGTGGCGGGAGGGGGGAGGGATAGCATTAGGAGATATACCCTAAAACTTAACGTATAATAATAATAAAATTTTAAAAAAAGATAAACTAGATATTTTTATTTGCATGACTTGCAAGTAGGTTAAACTTCCCATAGCAAAATTTCCAGATGAAATTGCAAAATAATATTCCTTACCAAGATTTAGATTGGTGGGTTTACTTAACTAGAATTAGCAGGTGACCCAATCTGGATGCTTCTGGTCCTAATTATGACAAGCAGACTGAAAAGGCATGTAGATACTGAACGACCACCAGGCCAGCTGCTGGGAAAAACAGTTACGGCATCTCACCTCATTATGTACGTTTCTGATAAATATTCTCCTGAGGTTTAATAAGCTGCTTTCTTATTACCTAAAACTCTTTCAGATCTGCCACAGAGAAGGTAAAAGGCAAATGATGATCCAGCAACAGAGACAAGATAGGAGCAAGTGTGATTATTTTGAGATGACTCAAATTAGCCTAGAGTTAACAAAGGGTGGCGGAGGGAGAACTGGCTGACAGACTTACTTGCTTTTCTAAAACTTAGTTTGAGAAAACATTCAATGTGCCAAGCTACAAGAAAGCCAGCAATTTTACATTCTTAATCAATAAAGTCTGAATGCCATCAATTCAATATTCATGACAGGAAATAAAATTGCTGCCACATCTTAAATTATATAGCCCTTAGAAGCCCATAAAATATTGTTCTGCATTTGCTTTCCTGACCTTTGTATACCACAAGGCCATATGCTTTTGAAGAAGTTGCTAATTCTACCAGACTCACTGGTCTCCCAGAGCACAATCACAAAACCATTCTGAGGTTCTTGCCTATTCCTTTCCTTCAAAGGTCACTTCTCCAAAGAGTCCTTCCCTGATAAGACTCAGTGCCTAGCACATCTATCTTTGATCTCTGTACTGACAACATTGGATTCTTCCTTTTATATGCTCACACAGTCCTTGTAATTTTATTATTTCTCAGCTCTTACACCATTAATTTTTCATTCATGGCCTATTCCAAATTTATTTCATTAAAATTCCTCTCCTCCAACCAGAAGCTAAACATCGTGCCTATGGGAAATACCCTTTAAACAGTTTTTACCAATTTATTCCTTGCACTTAACACAATAAATAGAACATAAGTATTTTTAAAACTTGACTGAATAAGTGATTAATGCAATTGATAGTTTCTATCATTCTATGCTATAGTCTAAGAAAATTAAGAATTCTTAATGTAGTAAAGTTATAAAATTACAAGATACAGAAATGGAAGGGGCCTTAGATATTGTTTATTCCAACTTCTCTGCTTTCTAGATAAGGAGACTGAGGCTAAAATTCCGAGATGGGTCCAGAAACCCAAGTTCCCCCAGTTAGTTAGTGACAGAAACTAGATATTTGGAATCCATCACCAATAGAGTTTCTAAAAAATTGTTGATAGGTCTGAAATACAGGTGGTTCCTACAACTTCTGCAGGCCATTCTCCAAAATAGTCTCCTGGACACCATTTTAAATTTATTACAAATGATCCAGTGGGGCCAATTAGATAAACCAATTCCTTATATGAGATGTGTTGTAAATGCAAATTAATTATAAAGAGGCTTCTCCTTTAGTGCATTATGATTGTCTAGGACTAACCCGCAGCTCTTTGTAGACTAGCTAACATGAATAATTGAAAATGTAAAAGCTGTAGATTCAAAACTACCAATTTTCCCAATCCCTTCTCTGTAGGGAGGGGATCAACTTAAGTTTAAATTAAAGCCAACCTGAAATTCTATTGAACATTAACATTTCCTGCCTCTTTATTTACCCTTTGATATTCATGCTAGCCATCAGCCCTATTGAATGACTGACTCTTTGCAATCCTCAAAATGGGCCTAGCCATATTCTATTTTATTTCAAATGTTTTGCAAATGCTGTTGCTCTTACTTCAAGTGAGTTTGTTTCCTTATTGGTCTAGGTAGCTCATACTTATCCTTCAAAATCCAAGTCGAAAATCATTTTGGAGCAAAGAGCCTCTTGCTTTCTCAAGACAGAATTCATGTCTCTCTCCATTGACACCATAGCCTACATTCTTTTCTTCCGATATTCCTTTGTAACCTTGTCACTAATCTGCCACCCCATCTGCCTGGAGACAGTTAGAAACTAAAGATCTTTGTCCTATTTAATCTCTCTAACTTCAGTGCATGACTCAGTGTTAAATGTTTATATTTTTATTTAAAAATTATGCCCGAGGACTTTTTAATAGTCCTAAAATGAACAAAATAAATATAAGCAAATAACAAGATATTTATTATCAGAAAATATGTCAACTTTAAAAGTTATAATGTTTATCAGAAATCACAAGCTTCTGCATTCCCAAATACATATAAATTGTGCATCATGATGAGTGACCATTAATTTGTCAACTACAGGATACCTAATCATATCAATATAATTTATTCTGCAACAGATGACCAATGAAATCATATTGCCTATTTTGTGATACCTATGCTAGGCACAGGAAAAAAAAATAGTTCTGAATGAACAGGCAAATAAACTGATCATAACAACAGCATCATAATTGAACTCATTTGTGTATTGAGCTTATCAAGTTATTTATGTATGAGTTATGCAATATGAATAAGCTTATCACTTAAGGTCCCTAAAAAATAATTAAATGGAGAGAACAGTTTATCTCTAGCTAAAATTTTAGACTTTACTTCTGATTATTGATTCAAATAACAGAATAAAATAAAGATGCAAATGCCTCCTCTTGAAAAGGCCACAGATCTTAAAAATAATGTATTATGAAGTCTTCTGTACATGCAGAATGAATATATAATTTATATTATAACTGATTCAGTCTTTAGTGTAAGAAAATAATAAATAAAAATATAAGTCATATTTTGGACTCCCCAATTCAGTGTTTGTTGTCTGGAATCAAATCTGCCTGGATTTTTTTTTAAATTCTGCTCTGTTTTCCAGGATTATGTGCTATTGCAATTTTCTGTCATCATGTATTTACCAGTTAACCAGCATCATCCTGGGACATGCTCAACTGCATTTTGAACACACACATTCAGTGTGATCTCATCTACAATTTTGGTTTAAATGATCAACTATATCCTAATATTTCACATGTTTATACCTTTGGCTCAGAACTCTTTCTTGAGCCCTAATTTGTTTTTTTTAAAAAAACAAAATGTCTACCTATACCTAGACTTGGATCTTAGAAAAGCACCTCAAATCCATCATTTCTAAAACTGAACCATTTTTCTTTCATAGTCTTAATGACAATATTCTCACTTTAATATTATATATCCTGCCGATTTCATGCCACAAACCAGAGCATTTAATTAATGCCTTTAATTAATTAAATTAATTTAATTAATGCTTTTTCTTTTCATTCACATCCTTATATCCTATCAGTTACCAGGTTCTCTTGGTTCTGCTGATCAAATACATTTTGAATCTGCACATTTTTTCTTCCTATTCCCACTATGAATGCCTGTAGTCCTGCTCTCAGCCACTATTCTCCCATCTGATATTTGTAAAAAATACCTGTGATTCCTGCAACTTCTCTCAGTTAGATTCCTCCAGCAGCCTTGAAACTGGCCTCAAGGCTTCTGGTCTTTCTGACTCCAACCCAGTTTTTTCACAGCAACCAATATAGTCTATCAAAAAGTCATTTTACTATTTTATACACCTATTGATTATTTTTGTTATTCCTGAGAGTCAAGCTTATTCTGCAGGAGGAAACAATTACCAAATGTGAATGGCTTAAACAAATAAAATAACATTTTTTTCATGCAAACTACATGTCTAAAGTAGTTCAGCAGGTGACTCTGATTGTTACTGGCATTCAAGGATCCAGGCTGTTGGAACTTCAGTGATCAGATCACTGAATCCTTGCAGTAGGGAGGAATGTAATAGTGGCTTGTAAGGGTTCTGCTTGGATGTAAAACATGTCACTTCCACCTACATTTAGTCAACCAGAGCAATTCAATGGCCACCCTTAACTTCAAGAGGGTGGATAAATTCAACCTTACTATATGCTGAAGAAAAGAGAAGCAGACTATTTGTGAATGACATAAAGGACTACTACAGCTTTGTATTACTGTAGCAGTAAAATGTTTACTTCAACACAATTCTAAGGTCCCAGAGCTCCCTCTGCAGCTTCTCTTCCTGACACTCTTTAACTTTTTACCCAAAGTCCTCAAGATACTATTCTTCCTGCAATCCTTTGAATACAGAACATTCATCATCCTACATGTTCTCTTTCTGACTCGATCTCCTTTCCTCTTCTCAGCCTAGCCAGCTCTTACTTTCTATTCCAGTTTCAGTATAAGAAGCATTTCTACCAGTAGGACTTCTGTTATTCCCTTTTACTCTTAAGTACTCGTCCTACGCATTCCCTGACTATAATAGAATATTTTTTTTTCAGTTTACTGCACCTTTAACTGTCCATCTTCGCCAACTAAAACTAAAAGTCATTATAGCAGTGACTGCATGTGTATAACTGGATTCTATTGCATTCTCATAGCTGCCCAAAAACTAACACAAAGTAAGCATTAATTAAACATTTATTGAATAAATATATGATATTTCTTCACCAGTTAATTTATTTTTAAAACCTGGTTCATTTTAGTAGACTCATGGAAGAGCCTAAGTACATTGGGAATACCCGAACCCAAAAAGAGCTTTTTCTAAGTCTTTATAAGAAGATAAGAAGGAGAACCATCTAAAGACAATAATCTTTAAAATTTAAAGTGATTAAACAGATTCCTTTCTCCTATCTTTCACAATAATTCCCAGTCAATTACTTTGCATATAATGTGGTTTATCATAGTGTTCATTCATCAGTCCTGCATCCATTCATTCAACAAATTTATTGCATAACTATCAAATGTCAGGTGTAGTTCTAGACATGGTATATATAGCAGTGAAAAAATACTGGCCAAATCCCTGCTCTTATACTTTAAAGAAGAAATTGACAGTAAATAAATAAGTAATATTTATACTATATCTAATAGTTATAAATACTGTAAAGATAAAATAAATGAAGAATGGAGCTAGGAGAGGCTAGGGTCTAGGAGTAGGAATGAAGTTTTAAGAATAGTCTTTGGGAGGCTGACGCAGGCGGATTGCCTGAGCTCAGGAGTTCGAGACCAGCCTGGGCAACGTGGTGAAACCCTGTCTCTACTAAAATACAAAAGAAATTAGCTGGGCTTGGCAGTGTGCACCTGTAGTCCTAGCTACTGGGGAGGCTGAGGCAGAAGAATTGCTTGAACCTAGGAGGCAGAGGTTGCAGCGAGCTGAGATTGCGCCACTGCACTCCAGCCTGGGCGACAGAGTAATACTCCATCTCTATAAAACAAAACAAAACAAAACAAAACAAAACAAAACAAAACAAAACAAAACAAAACAAAAACAGAAGAATAGTCAGGGGAGTCTCCACTACCAACTGATCCAGGACCTGAAGAAGGAGATGGAGTGAGCTACCATATCTTGAGGAAGAGGTTTTAGCCAAAGGGAACAGCAATGCAAGGTCCTTAAGGAGTGGATATGTCTGGCATATTTGACTTATAACAGAGGATGATGTGGCTGGATAAGAGAGACTGAAGACTGAGTGGTACAAGAAGAGTGTATGTTCATCAACGGGGAATAACCTGGTAGAAAAGTGCAAATGGTAATTATAGGGAAGCGTTTTTGTTGACTAACCTAAGACAAGATACAAATTTGCTTTTTTTGGAAGGAAAATGGAGATATTGCTTTTCCTACTTATGAGTACTGAGAGTCCAAGTTGGTATTCATTTCAGTACCTCTAGGGAAGATGTTGAGATAACTCCAACTGGCCTGCAGAGGTCTTTGTATGATCACAACTGGTATAACAATATAATGGAATTCAATGATCTATTATCTCACCTATCTGCCTATGTGCTCCTCCCTCTCTACCTTCAACCCTGGATGACTATCTTGATACTTAAGTGAATAATATTCTGAATCAGGGCCTTCATTTGGATGAGTCAATTCACTAATGATATGAAATGTTGACTCCCCTGCAATCAGAAGTGGGTTACATCCCAAGCCTTCACACTCAAACTAGAAATTCTAATTTAAGCACAACAGTAATGACTTCCATTTATATAGTCATTTTTCTCCAGAAGTATTCCAAAGTGCCTTAACAATTATATATAGGCAATCACATCGCCCACTACTAAAACACAGTCATGTCTAGAGGGAAAATGCAGTAACTGTTTAATAACAAACAGTAACATAACAAGAAGTAAAGATAAACACTTTAACAAATCCCACAGCCAAGTGTGAGGGGTGGAGAAGAGGTCCAACTAAGAAGCCAGAGTTACCTCAACTCGGAAAAAAGCCAAGATACCGTGGTTAAAGCCTGCATTTCTATATAACATGTCACCTCCTATTTAGTGCATGACAGGGCTCAGTATAAAATCTCCAGTGTCTCCCAAGCCCATTACATCACTAAAGCATAAATGTGGAAACCAGTTACCATATGTTGGCCTATTGAACGAGAACATTGTCTAGATATAATCCAACATGCTTTTACTGCTTACTCCAAACTTGCCCTATGAGTGAGTTAAACTGATTCAAATATTCTTTGATAATGCAGGACAACCAAAGACTAAATCCATTGTTTCTTAAATGCTTACCCATAAGACAGCTGTCTTAAATTCACCAGGGTAGGTTAATAAAAGTCCAGATCCATGGGATTTATGCCACACTTTCTATGTTGTTGTTGTTTTTTATTTTTGAGACTGGTTCTTTGACACCCAGGATGGCGTGATCATGTAATCATAGCTCAATGCAGCCTTGAACTCCTAGGCTCAAGCAATTCTCATGCCTCAGCCTCCTGAGTAGCTGGAACTACAGGGGTGCACCACCAGGTCTGGCAAATTTTTGTACTTTTTTTTGTAGAAACAGGGTCTTGCCATGTTGACCAGGCCAGTCTCTAACTCCTGGCCTCAAGCAAACTGCCCATCTCAGCCTCCCAAAATGCTGAGTTTATAGGCATGAACCACGTTGCCTAGCCCCAGACTTTCTAAATCGGATTATTTAAAGGTGAGACCCAGGAATCTGTTTGTTTGTTTGTTTTTTGAGACGGAGTCTCGCTCTGTCCCCCAGGCTGAAGTGCAGTAGCGCAATCTCAGGTCACTGCAACTTCTGCCTCCTGGATTCAAGCAATTCTCTGCCTCAGCCTCCCAAGTAGCTGGGATTACAGGTGCCCACCACCATGCCCAGCTAATTTTTGCATTTTTAGTAGAGACAGGGTTTCACCATCTTGGCCAGGCTGGCCTTGAAATCCTGACCTTGTGATCCACCCACCTCAGCCTCCCAAAGTGCTGGGATTACAAGCCTGAGCCACCGTGCCCGGCCAAGAATCTGGTTTTTAATATGGTTTATAAGTAATTTGCATGGTCCTGTATTGGCAGATTTGGATAGCACTGGTGCAGCTAGATTAAAAAGTGAATTAATAGCTATGGGAAATAAGAGAAATGGATAATAAAGAATGAGAGAGATAAAACATGTACATTTAGAAAAGGAAGCAATCCTCAAGCCTCTTTTTTTTTTTTTTTTAAGATATCTGTGGTTAGGTCCTTGAAATCTAGTTCCCTGTGAGCTAAAAAGCATTCAGGGCAAAATTCAGACTTTGAAGATGGAAGAGATTTCAGAAGTTATGTAATCTAACACTCAGTTTACCAAGTTAGAAACTGAGGATGGATAGGTCATATGATTAAGGCTATAATGGCAGCTTTGGATACTTTCTAATGGTCTTTCCATCAAGGCCAAACCTATCTGGCCTGAGGGCCTGATCTGGAAGCCAATTTCACCGTGGTTGCCTTCAGTAGTTTTCTGACTTTCTTCTCATTAACTATCTAATTCACCCCAACAACAGTTATATACCTCTCTACTTTCCTCGTATTTTATTTCCTTTCTCTTCTGACTCTTTTCTCACATTCACCAAAATCTGACAGACTTAGTCTTTGGTTCACTTAACATTGTTTTCGGCAACAATTACAAACCATTTATGAGTTCTCACTAAGATAGAAAGTCAAAGCTAGATAGTAGGTATACAACTGTTTCCTACAACACAGAATATAAACTTCTGAAATCTGAACTGTTAAGTAAGCTCTAGTCACAATTTTGACATTAATTGGCTTTATAGCATAGATACCAGCCATTCATGTACTGAATACCTATTTATTGAGTATCTTCTATGTGATTGGAATTGCTAGGTGTTGACAAAAACACAGGCAGGTTTTCTTCCACCTAGACATCAGGGTCAACAGAAAGATAGCCAGTAAACAATTACATTAATCACTATGGTAAGAGCCATATAGTAAATGTAAGGGCCGCTGTGGGACAGGCACCCTATACAGGACTGGCGGGCATGCAGGACCTAGTAGAAGTTTCAAGAAAAACTTCAAGGAAGTGATATGGAAGGGAAAATCTAATAGTTGAGTAGGAATTAGGCAAAGGGAGAGTGTGAAAAATGTTTCAGATAGATCTAAAAACACAAGCAAACTTCCTGAGCTGGGAAAAGAAGCTAAAAGGTCAATGCGACTAGAGCAAGGGGAGACAGAGGAAGAGAGCAGAAAATAAACTCAGAAAAGAAAGCAGCCAGATCACAATATTGTGCAGTAATTGCTGAGTAACTTGGAGATAATCCAACCTGCCACCAGGTTATTGTTTGCATCCAGTGAGGTATTTCTTGTGAGAGGATAAAATAACAGTAATTTTAGCAGCTGTGCAAAAAAAGGCATTGTAAAAAATTTAAGAGATTTTATAAATAAACTTGCTGTTTCTCCTTTCTCCTAGAGAAAAGAACTTTGATCCAGAGGTCTCCAGCAGAAAAAAAGACTAACTAACTCACATTTAAAACAAATGAGAGTGAGAGATCGTCCGCTTCCACTTGCCCTTTGCAAAGGAATCAGGAGCAGAATTTAAATGTGTGTGGGTGTGTGTCTGTGCGCACATGCACGTGCATGACTTACTATGCCATTTACCAAGTCTTTAAAATGGCCACCCAATACTGATGGTGCAGTACTGCTGCCCTGACTAAAGTCACTCAAGGGCTGAGCTGGTGTCTCATGGTATTGCCTCACAATTTTCCCCATTAAACCACAGAGACATGGCCCAGATACAGATCTCTGTCCTGTTAGCTAATTGGTATCATTATCCTAAGATATCTTCTGCTATCGAAAAATCCCTGCCGCAGAACATCAAAAATGTGGTACAAAATGACACAGAAATCAACTTCCTGCTTGATACACTAAGAAGTGATTAAAAAAAAAATGGTTAGATCTTAGCGCACATCCTCATGAGTTGCGAATTCTAGTTAGACATGTATTCGTGCAGACTCAGTTACCAGTTCTCATCTTTGGGAGAAGAAAAAAAAAGAAAAGTTTTAAGAATGTTGGTAATTAATAAACTAGGAAATATTAATAGCCACAGAATGAACTGTTTTCTTATTCAGTGAGTGAAATAGCATTCCCTTTGCATTCAAAATGTTTTCTTCTGTGGTTTGGCCATAGGGAAATCAAGACAGTATGTTTTCTTATTGCCCTTACTGTGACCCTTTAATTTTCTACCTTACCTTCTCCCCCACAGCCACTTACACACAACTTTACCAAAATGGATATTAGATTTTTTCAGGGATTCTTTTTATAAACACCGAATCTGGAGGAAGGAGAATCTGATGCATACTGAAACAGTGATCTCTGGAAAAAACAGATTTTCCAGAGGGGGAAAAAAAGGCATCCAACGCCATATTCTCAATGTTCCTGTTTCCCTGAGCCACCACTGGTCTCATTAAATACCCTCAGAAAATAAATTTCCCTACACTCAAGAACTAACTGCTGTTATATAGGATCCCCAAGCTCTGCTGAGCTCCTTTAGAAAAGTATTGTTGTTATTACCCTAATGAGTTAGAAAGAGAGACATCTACCTTAACAATTAAAGGGTGAGGATCAATTCCTGGCCTTAATGGATATCCTCAGAGTATTACAGCAAATTAGTAGTTGAACAAAAGAGACTCAATTCTTAATACCCACAGCAGCTCAGTTTGAGCCTTGACTCACAAATGAGCTACAGCAATCTCATCTCTTTTCTAGTCCTTCAAGATCATCTTCCATTAATGAGGTAAATCTATAATACTAACCACCATCACTTTGCTACTTTCCTAATGTTTAAAAGCAAGTCTGATTCTATGTGATTTTTATCTAGTTCATAGACTAGCTCATTTAGTATATGCTAATGAATTTCTTTTAAAGAGGAAAAAAAGACTCTTTACTTAAATTTGTTTTCCCTTTGAGCTATTACCTGAAAAACCATTCCAGCAGCCATTAAAACTTGTCAAAGGAGTTTACAGTGATGATTTCAGTATAAGTGCATCCCAATTCACAGACCCAATTGCTAAACATTTATTTTTGATGTATTTGTTGTTTACGTATTCTAGGATATTATAACTATTTAATGGTCATGTTGGAAATACTTTTTTAAAGCAATTATACTCATAGACCAGGGAGATGAAAATAGCATCTGATAGAGAATAAGAGACTTATTGATACCATTTATATGCTCCAGCTGACACAATTATCACAATTATTTTGGAAAAGCAAACACTAAAGCAATTTCCAGTTGTGTTCACTCATGTGATTGTACATTCCAGTGAAAATACCTGAAACCATAAGAATCTACAGGGGAAATTATATTAGTGACACAGAAAGTTGAATATCTCTGAAATTTCAGGCCATATGAAAACTACCAATTTATCTCTACTGTATACTATGGATTGAAGAGAAAAATCATTATGTCTTCAAGTTGAAAAACCTAGGTTCAAGGTCTGACTCTGTCAAGTCCATAGGTATACAATCTTGTATAAACAATGTTTCTGAACCACAGTTTCCTTATTGTTATATTATTGATAATAATAATCTATTTCATGAATTAAAAACACTATGAAAATGAAAATGTATGCTAGGATCTCTAAAAGTCCAAAATCTTTTTATATTTTTAACTGTAGAAGGAGGAGAATTTAGCTGAGTTATTTTTAATACCTCAAAAAATTCCTTGTTATGTACAATGCTGATAGAACTGTTCAATTATCTAATAACTTCAAAATATACTTAACAATTCTGTCTCCCGTGATGTATTTACATATTATTACTATATTAGTCTGTTTTCACACTGCTGATAAATACATACCCAAGACTGGGCAATTTAAAAAAAAAAAAAAAGGTTTAATGTACTTAGAGTTCCACAAGGCTGGGGAGGCCTCACAATCATGGGGGAAGGCAAGGAGGAGCAAATCACATCTTACATGGATGGTGACAGGAAGAGAGAGAGAGATTGTGCAGGGAAACTCCCATTTTTTAAAACCATCAGATGTCATGAGACTTCTTCACTATCATGAGAACAGCACAGAAAAGACCCACCCCCATGATTTAATTACCTCCCACTGGGTCCCTCCCATGACTCGTGGGAATTGTGAGTTACAATTCAAGATGAGATTTGGCTGGGGACACAGCCAAACCATATCATTCTGCCCCTGGCCCCTCCCAAATCTCATGTCTTCACATTTCAAAACCAATCATGCCTTCCCAACAGTTCCCCAACGTCTTAACACATTTCAGTATTAACTGAAAAGTCCACAGTCTAAAGTCTCATCCAAGACAAGGCAAGTCCCTGCTGCCTATGAGCCTGTAAAATCAAAAGCAAGTACATTGTATGTACTTCCTACATACAATGGAGGTGGGGCATTGGGTAAATACAGCCACTCCAAATGGGAGAAACTGGCCAAAACAAAGGGGCTACAGGCCCCAGGGAAGTCTGAAATCCAGCGGGTCAGTCAGATCTTAGAGCTCCAAAATGATCTCCTTTGACTCCATGTCTCACACCCAGGTCATGCTGGTGCAAGAGATGGGTTCCCAGGGTCTTGGGAAGCTCCAACCCTGTGTCTTTGAAGGGTACAGACTCCCTGCTGGCTGCTTTCACAAGCTGGTGTTGTGTCTGCAGCTTTTCCAGGCACATGATGCAAGCTGTCAGTGGATCTACCATTCTGGGGTTTGGAGGACAGTGGCCCTCTTCTCACAGCTCCACTGGGCAGTGCCCCTGTAGGAACTCTGTGTGGGGGCTCTGACCTCACATTTCCCTTCCACACTGCCTTAGCAGAGGTTCTCCATGAGAGCCCCATCACTGCAGCAAACTTTTGCCTGGACATCCAGGCATTTCCATACATCCTCTGAAATCTAGGCAGAGGTTCCCAAACCTCAATTCTTGACTTCTGTATACCTGCAGGCTCAACACCACATGGAAGCTGCCAAGGCTTGGGGCTTCTACCCTTTGAAGCAACAGCCCAAGCTATAACTTGGCCCCTTTTAGCCATGGCTGGAGCAGCTGGGACACAGGACACCATGTTCCCAGGCTGCACACAGCACAGGGACCCTGGGGCCAGCCCACAAAACCATTTTTTCCTCCTAGACCTTTGGGCCTGTAATGGGAGGGGCTGCTGTTAAGACCTCTGACATGCCTTGGAGACTTTTTCCCCATTGTTTTGGGGATTAACATTCAGCTCCTCATTATTTACGCAAATTTCTGCAGCCAGCTTAAATTTCTCTTCAGAAAATGCGTTTTTTTTTTTCCTGTCATATTGTCAGGGTGCAAATTTTTCAAACCTTTATGCTCCACTTCCTTTATAAAACTGAAGACCTTTAACAGCACCCATGTCACCTGTCACCTCTTGAATGCTTTGCTGCTTAGAAATTTCCTCTGCCAAATACCCTAAATCATCTCTCTCAAGTTCAAAGTTCCACAAATCTCTAGGGCAGGGGCTAAATGACACCAGTTTATTTGCTAAACATAACAAGAGTCACTTTTGTTCCAGTTGCCAACAAGTTCCTCAACTTCATCTGAGACCACCTTAGCCTGGACATTGTTGTTCATATCAGTATCAGCATTTTTGCCAAAGCCATTCAACAAAGTCTCTGGAAAGTTTCATACTTTCCCACATTTTCCTGTCTTCCTCTAAACCCTCCAAACTGTTCCAATCACTGCCTGTTACCAAGTTCCAAAGTTGCTTCCACATTTTCGGGTATCTTTTCAGCAACGTCCCACTTTACTGGTACCAATTTACTTTATTAGTCCATTTTCATGCTGCTGATAACTGCATACCTGAGACTGGGCAATTTACAAAAAAAAAAAAAAAAAAGGTTTAATGGACTTACAGTTCCACATGGCTGGGGAGGCCTCACAATCATGGTGGAAGGCAAAGAGGAGCAAGTCATATCTTACGTGGATGGTGGCAGGCAAATAGAGAAAGAGAGAAAGAGCTTGTGCAGGGAAACTACCATTTTTTAAAACCACCAGATCTTGTGAGACTTATTCACTATCATGCGAACAGCATGGGAAAGACCCACTCCCATGATTCAATTATCTCCCACTGGGTCCTTCCCATGACACATGGGAATTGTGGGAGTTACAACTCAAGATGAGATTTCGGTGGGGACACAGCCAAACCATATCAATTATATATGTATATTACAAATTTAATATTATCTATTCAAAAAATAAATAGTAGGTAGTATCAAAGATTATTCTAAGAATTACATATGAGTTGGTGAGAGTCTATTCCCAAAAGGGATAAAATATACATTATCAATTACTAAAATGATTAGGGCAGAAGTAAAGTAGATCAGGGTAGAGAAAAAACAAGAGATCCACCCAAAGCAAAAATCCAAACTATATAAAGGACTTTGGATAAGACAAAGTACATATCTCCAAAGAAAGGAGAGAAAGAATGGATGATTTCTTAAGTGTTTGTAATCTGTAGAAGCAAGTTAGGAAAGTAAAACAGAAAATCTGCATGTAGTTGCATGTATAACCTCACCCTATATCAGGTCTGACAAAAAATATTGAATTTCATATTTCAATGCGGTCAACTGAGAGGGATTTTCCTGGAGGACAGTATTTAGTGGAGAAAAGGTTGGGAAGGGCAGGTAGGAAGGCCACTGTAAAGGTTCAGGGCTGTCTGTCATTGAGAGAGACCTACTTACAAAACTTGTATTTGCTATCCTTATATCCTTATATTTATAATTTCCCAAATAAATGAATATACTGCACTAAAGTATATTCATAGAGGTAAATACTTTTAAAATATTTCTAAACTATAGAAAAAAGTCACAAATTAAAAGACCAACAGATTTGAATACACAATTGTTCTATTATAGCAATGTAAAAACCAAAATTTTAAAAAAAGAAAAAAAGATGTAAATTAAATTAAAATGTATTAACACCTATATAAAAATTATTCATTTATGTATATATGTAATAATTAGGACTCCAATAGGTATATTAGAAAAGAGTATAAAACAGATAAGCCGTACAGAGAGGTAAATATAGTAAATAAACACATAGAAAAAATGTCCAGCCTTGATAATTATAAAAGATAGATAAATGACATGAATGTAGTATAAAATTTTGTACTGATTAAGGAAAAAGAATGCTTAAAGTCTTAGTGTTTTGTCTGATGAAGCCAAAAAAAGGAGAAAGACTGAAAAACAGATACAGCTTTTAATTCAGTAAAATCAGTAAATGCACAAAAAACTAAGTTTAGCATCAGCACAGTAATGAAAAGGAAAATGTAAATTATATATGCCTCAGTAGAGAAGTGGTTAAGTATATTGAAGGCAGCAACCAATAAAATCTTTTAGTGCCACTAAATATAGCTGCTGTGGAAAATATAACAGAGAAAAATTTTATAACCATATTTCAAGTTAAAATGTAAAATATAACACTGTCTAAAAGTTAATATAAATACATTCAGAAAACTTGAAAGTGAAAGGAATTTAGAAAAATTAAACTTATAGTTGGCTCATGGGTTAGGCACTAGGTTTCTTTGTATCTTTATCTTTAAAATTCCTTAGATATTGATATGTTGTGATTTCACTGTGATAAAGAAGCATATTAACAATGTTTTGCACATCTCTCCTGAACACTGGGTCGGAGGTGGGGAGATGAGAGTTAATTTGAAACATACTACTTAGTAATCTGTATTATCAAATAAATGTTCACCCACTATTTATCTAGTAACATCAGGAAGTACTATTAATGGAACAAGAACATAATTTCAACCAAAATCTAAATTACGCCCTGAGTCACAGTGATGGATTCTTTCAAGACATTTTGATACCGTTTAGGTAGTCACGTGTGCCTTGTTTCCTAAGGATTTTCTATGGCTTTAGCTTACTGTTTCTCAATCTCTTTTAAAATTCACAAAAGTAGTATTTTTCATTCTAGAAAGTATATACGTCTGATAAATCAAACAGATAATTCTGGAAGAACCCTGATTTTTTAATTATATACACCTGGACCCAAACCCAGATCTAAAATGTACAAGCAGAGTGACCTTGGACATGTTAATTAAGCTCCCTGATTATATACATTTTCATCTATGAAATTGTGATAATAGCAGTGATATGGGAAGGGGAGCAGGGGAAGTGTTGGGAAGGGGAGGGCATGGTCCCTGGATAGGGCTCCAATCCCAGGCCTGTGCCCAGGGACGAAGGTGAGGACAGGCACTTCTGTTTTCATGCCCAAATGTTGTATTTCCCAAGACCACCTTGGCCCACCACACCCCCATTATGTGTCTGTACAAATCCCGAGGCTGTAGCAGGCATGCACACAAGTGTCTGGACGTTGAGAAGAACACACTGGCAGAAGAGGACACAAGTAACTGGAAGTCGAGAAAAATGCACTGGCGAAAGAGCACACCAGCAGACCCAGCAGACCACAGACCAGTAGAAAGACGTGGAGTTTGGCCAAGGCATTTGGAGGTAAGCCTAGCCACTGAGTCGCCCAACTCCAGGGGAAAACCACCTTCCCACTCCATCCCCCTTCTGGCCTCCCCATCCTCCTTGCTGAGAGCTACTGCTCAATAAAAAAGCCTTGCACTCTTTCTCCAAGCCCACGTGTTATCAGATTCTTCCAGTACACCAAGGTAAGAACCCTGGGATACAGAAAGCCCTCTGTCCTTGCAGTAAGGCAGGGGTCTAATAGAGCTGATTAGCACAAGCCACCTACAGATGGCAAAACTAAAAGAGCACCCTGTAACTTGCCCACTAGGGCTTCATGAGCTGTGAGCATTCACCCCTAGACGCTGCCGTGGGGCCGGAGCACCACAACCTGCCCATCTGCATGCTCCCGCTAGAGGTTTGAGCAGCAGGGTAGCAAAGAAGTAAGCCACATACCAATTACACATCCTGTGAGGAGGATAAGGGAACTTTTCTCGTTTCAGCAGTAACTACCTCTTGGTTTTGCTATAAATGACATCATATCTGAACAGTTTACATACATAATAAGTGGCAGTAAATGTTAATTTCTTTCTCTTTTCCATTCTCATGTTATGAATAGAACAAGAGTGAACTCAAAGAGACTGTCAATCAGTCTCAGCAACACCTATCCAGTTTTCACAAATTTCCTGTTTAACTTTGGATTGAAGATACCCTCCCCTTCCTCTCCCTTCCCCTCCTCCCACCCAACACACAAACACAGACTTCTTACTTCTTTACCAGGAGACATTCTGTGCTGTTGAATACAAACATCACTGCCCAATTGGGGAAAGCAAGAATTCCCACGTTTACAGTTTACCTGCAGTTAAGCAACATATTCTTATTTTTTAGTTGCTTTTCTATGTCTCCTCTAAGTAAGCAACTAAAAAAATAATTACTCTTCAATAATACATGTTGAGATGATTTTCCAAAAAAGCAGCATAGCGTAACAAGGAAGACTGAATAGTGAGGTAGCCAGAATGGAGCCTTCGGAGTTAGACTACCTGGAAGCCAATCCCAGCTTAATCTCTTACTGGCTATGTGATTCCAAGCAGAAGTAATAGATCTATGTACAAATTTTCTTATCCTTTAATTAAGAACAATAATAGCAATCATTCATAGATGGACTGTGAAGATCAGGTGAGCTGATGATACTTATAACACTGTCTACTCATGTGGTACTGTTTGATCAATATTAGTTTTTTTATCTCTTCTAAATGAAGGGGGAGCCTAGAAAGAGAGGAGAAAAAGAAGCAAAAAAAAAAAAAAAAAGAGTATAATGCAATGATAAAGACTGGTGAAATAAATGGTTTCTAAAATGTATTAGCTGTTTGGTTTTGGGCAGGTTATCTCTAAGCTTAGCTCTCTTACATATAGAACCATATATCCTTGTTGTTATGCTTTCATGAGAATTGTAAAGAAAACTACTTTTTAGCACAAAACAGGACCTGCCCCCCCCCCCAAAAAAAAGTATAATTTATGTTGGCAATTTCTTAAACTAATAAATGATTCTTATTAAATAAAAATTATAACCCACGATCAAGCCAAACAGAACCACAGAAATCAATAACAAGAATATTTCTTGTTCACCTATGGTCAAAAGACTGACTCACCTGTTTTCTCACTCATTTATTCAACAAAGATTTATAGGGCACCTTTATGTACAAAACACAGCTCAGCTATCAGGATACCACAGTGAATGAGACAAAAAAGCCTCTGACTTCACAAAGTCTGTATTCTACTGAGAGATAAAAACAATGAACAAAAGTGAAAATAATCATTGAACATGGTCAGTGCTATGAAGATGCTGTGATAGGTTAGTCTGAGAAATCCTTTCTGAGGAAGTGGCAGTTAAGACAAGTAAAAAAAGACAAGACGTTTCCTGGCTGAGGGAACAAGAAGAATAAAGGCTTTGAGGTGAGATAGACCTTGCGGATTATGTGATCCAAGAGAAGGGCAATGTGACTGGAAAATAGAGGAACTGTGTTTGTAGAGCTGGGTAAGGACCAGACTATTTAGTGTCTGCCACAGTGATAAGGAGATTGGATTCCTGCAAAATGGGAAAGTTTAAATGGGAGGATGATGCGATCCCACTCACACTGAAAAATACTGAAGACTTGGCATTAAGAATGCAGCAGGATTAGAAAGAAAAAGACTAAAGGAAAGGTTTACTCAGAGGGTATTTTAATTAAGATGACCACATGCCCCAAGGTGATGGCAGAGGGCTGAAGAGAAATGGACAGGCATAAGGTATGAAATTAGAATTAGTGATATGAGAGGGGATGAAAGAAGTAGGTCGTGTGAAGACAAAGGTGCAATGAGAAACTAGGAAATAAACTACAGGGATAATGCTTTTTACTCAAGCAGTGATCTATTTCAATTCTGCCTAGCTAGCTCCCATTGCACTGGTCTGCTGTCACAAAGCAGCTTTTTGTCTCCACACTGACGTGCCTTTATTCAGGATGGCTCTAGGATTCAATGTGCTAGCCACACTTATTGGGTTGCTCCCTGACAATTTGCCTAGTGCTGTAGTTAAGCAGTTTTTGTGTCCATTGTTCTATAATCAGATTGCAGACAGCAGAAAACAGGGAAATTTCTAATAATCATGCATGAACATGTGTTATGTAATAACTGTAAAAACGGACATTCATAACTTTCTGTGTGATACAATATAAAGCTACTGACACTTTTGCAAGGACACTAGCTTTTTTTTTCTGTAGAAGTAGAGAGGTCTACTTATGCTGTTGCCCTGATCACTTGTCCTTCCACCTGAGCCTGAAGACAGACGGAGGACAAGAGAGAGGAAGGGTCACAGAGGTGAAATTTAAACATACTTGTGCAATGTAAACAGCTTCATCTGTTAATGGCCTTGGAAACCTTATAATTAAGGCAAACTGGCAAAGCAAACAGACTTTGACCTGTCTTTTTAGGGTGTAAACAAGAGGGAGAATCCAAGCATTTGCAGGAAGAACACTGGATAGAAAACATCTCTCGGGCAGGGTTTTATTCATCTTGTTTATTGTTGTAATAGCACAATGCCAGGTGCTCAGCCTAGGTCGCAGGAATGAATGAAGCAAGGAATAAATGTTTCCTTTCACTGCATTTATCACGGTCAGAGAACTGTGCACATAGATTACCCAGTCCTCACCAATGCGGATGCATTGGCTAAACAACGGTAAAATGACGTATGCTCGGCTGCGTACATTTGTGTTCGTCTACACTTGCATACACAAAAATATATCAGCAAACCAGATACTTGATGTTTAAAATCTGAAATGACGTGACACTAGTTTGGCCGTAGTTTATTTTCAAACATGCTGTATCTGCAGAATGTTGGGTAATGATGATGAAAGCCCTTTCAGAATAATTACAGTCAAATCATTTAGCACCAAGCCACTTCTGAAGCTCACTGTCACTCGTTCGGCTCCTTAGAAATTAATGTCTCTCGCTACAGTAAGGAAAGTACTCTTGCAGTAACTTACTGTTGTATATCCAGATAATGAGAATTTGAATGATGAAGTGTGATAGCATCAGCTGGCCTTGGCTCATCTGTATTTCTAATTGATTACAGTAATCTGTTTTAACCCCTCCCTGGCCTCTTTTCTCCCAGCTATTTTCTCTTTAAGGGCAAAGTGTTTTTATTCTGCAATCTGTAGAAATGTATCTTAATAGTGGCTTATTCTGTTCAAGAATATTGCTTTGCATTTGGTCCCATGCAGTCCCATTGTTTCTATTTTGAATTAGGGCAGATATAACTAAGCTACGGTTTCTTAGAACCACACTTTGCCTGGAATTTTCTGTCATTTACAGTGAGCAAAGATAATCTACATCAAGTGTCAGGAGCCTGCTGTGGACTCTCTACTTTATTTATGCCATGCAAAAACGTTCCTGATTTTTCACTGGCCTTACACTTGACCAATTATAGAAGAATTATTTGCCTGATTAAAGTCACTCTTTTCCCTTCAACTACCAATTTAACTAAACTCATCTGTCTTTCAGCCTGTTGGTCATCTATGAATGGTAGTGAAAAGAAAAAGTGGACACCAGTTTCTATCATTACTGCCAAAGTTTATAGTGACTCTGTTCAATTGTGAACAAAGCCTTAGAAAGAACTCATTGCAAAGATATTAGGTCATGCTAAGCAGAAGGTAGCCCCAGAGGAGATCTAACAGATTTCAAACTCCTATCTTCAGTTAAACTTTAAAGGGCTATTGCATTACAACTCGGGTGCTTTAGAATGGGTAGTAGATAAGATGAATCCTGGGCATCTCCCACCCAACTTCTCATCAAGCAGAGCAGTTCTACTTTTGTCCACTTTATTTATTAATGCATAAGATATACTTGGAAAAGGGTTCTGCAGCTTAAAAAGAGGAACCACTTGTCTGGGGCACAGATCCTAACTTTGGAATTAGATTCAACAGTTCTAAGCAGCTATGGTACCACCTTGCTTTCTGACTTTGGAAGTTACATCTAATTTCGGTGCCAAAGGAAGACATTAATTCTGAATGGTATTCTCAAGTGTAAGATGGTAATTAAAATTGCTTGTTATGTATACTTCATTCAGATCATTTTCAGTTACTATTCCCTTGGACCCTAGATAGCCACACAGCACATCACTCACTTCATTTAGGTTTCTGCTTCAGCATTAACTTATTGAAGTGTCTTCTGTGGCTATTAATCTAAAATAGCACATACCTCATTTTCCTCAATGTGTTTACCTTCATAGCATCTGACTTGGTACATACTAATTTTTGTTATTGGTTCATTAAGGTCTTCTCATGCTTGCATGTAAGCCCCAGGAGAGCACATACTTATCTTTTTCACTTCTTTTGTCAGAACTGGAATATTGTCTGGCATACAGCATGAATTAAATGTGTGTGTGTGTGTGTGTGTGTGTGTGTGTTCAGTACTTTACAGAATTGACAACAGGGCTAATCAAGAAGATCATACACACACACACACACACACACACACATATATATACATAGAAATGTATACACACACACACACATACACATATATAATTTGTATATATTTGTTCAAAGAATGAATCAGTACCCCTTATTCCCCCAAATCTGTATCACCTGGTTATTACCAAATAAATAAGAAAAAAGAAAAGAAAATTTGTGATGCATCACTGTATCTGTACCAGCAAGAACAAAAACCTTGCATATTTTGAAAAATACCTGTATATCTTGTCTTAAAAATGCAGCTTTTACGTGAATGCAGAATTGCTATGAAAAAGGCATACCCGTAGAGTCAGAATCGAGAAAAAGCAAAATCATTACAGGACAACTTAAATCCAAAGTAAGGTTAAGAATCTAAAGCTGGGGAATTTATGGCAGCAAAGGATGGTTTGATAATTTTAGAAAAGGTTTTGCTTAAAAAATGTCAGGATAACAAGAGAAGCATCTTCTTCTGATCAAGAGGCAGCCCATAAGTCCCGAGATGCCATTAAGAAAATCATAAGGGAGAAGAATATCTGCCTGAACAGGATTTTGATGAAGACAAAAGTGACCTACTCTGGAAAAAAATGCCACAAAGAACATTTGATGGTAAGAAAGAGAAGGGATAGTCTAACACTATTGTTTTATGTGAATGCAGTCAGGCTTATGATGAGGACTGCCCTTATCTATAAAGTTGCTAATCCCAAGACTTGAAGAGAAAATATAAATACTAGCTACCAATCTTTGGGTTGTACAACAAGAAGGTATGGATGATGAGAACACTTTTTCTGTATTGTTTTCATTGATGGTTTGTACCTGAAGTTGGAAAGTACCTCTCCAGAAAGGAATCTCTTCTTAAAGTTTTTCTTGATAATGCCCAAGACTGAAGGAATCAGAGTCATCTACTTGCTCCTAAAAACCATCTGATTCAGTCTCTAGATGAGAGCATTGTAAAGACCTTTAAAGCTCATTACACATCATATTCTATGGGACGAATTGTCAACACTATGGAAGATAACCCCAATAGACCAAGCATCATGAAACTCTGGAAATGCTACACCATTGATGATGCCATCGTTGTTATAGAAAAAGCCATGAAACCCATCAAGCTAGGAAGAAGATATTCTTGTTGGAGAAACTGTCTCCAGATGTTGTATGACTTCACAGGATTGACAACAGATCCAATCAAGACAATCATGAAATGAGTGAAGGGTATCAAGACACGGATCTTGATCTAATTAAACACCAAATAGTCATCACATCAGAGGAATTAACCAAAGACATCTTAATGGAGATGAGTGCTTCTAAACCAGTGCCAGACGAGGTAGAAATATAAAAGAAGCAATGCCAGAAAACAAGTTGACATTAGTCAATCTAGAGGTGTTCTGATTATTCAAGACTGATTTTGCCTTTTTTTTTAACCATATGGACCCTTCTATGATACTGAAACTAAAGCAAAGGGTGGAAGAATAATTAGTACAATATAAAAACATTTTTAGAGAAATAATACAGCCAAAAAGAGAGAAATTGTGATTTTTTTCATAAAGTCACATAGAGTGTGCCTACTGGTCTTGCCTCCCCTTCCATCTCCTCCATCTCTTCTGCCAGTGCCACCCTTGAGACAGTAAAACCAACCTCTCCTCTTCAGCCTACTCATCATGAAGACAAGGATAAAGACCTTTATAATGATTCACTTTTATTTCATGAATTGTAAATGTATTTTCTCTTCCTTATGATTTTACTAATAAAATGTTTTCTCCAGGTTCCTTTATCATAAAAATACAGCATATAGTACTATAACATACAAAATATGTGTTATTGGTAAGGCATTCAGTCAACAGTAGGCTATTAGTATTTAAGTTTTTAGGTAGACAAAAGTTAAACATGGATTTTCAACTGTGTGGAGGCCAGTGCTTCTAACCCCTATATTGTTCAAGGGTCAACTATATATGATAATATGAGTATAGAGACATAAAACTCATGATTGTCTCCTGGTATTCATGTCTTTATATAATCCCCTCAAGTATGGATGCAACCTATGACTCGATTCTAACCCATGGAATATAGCAAGGTAACAAGATGTACATCATTACATTACCTGAGATGATAATGACCATTTTGCCAGGAGATTATTTCCCTTGTTGGCTTCGAGGAATCAAGTGGCCATGTTGGACAGGCTCATGTTAGAAGGAACTGAGGCCTTGAGACTCTTAGCTAGCAAGAAGCAGAGGCCCCCAGGCCAACAGCCCACAAGGAACAAAACGATGCCAAAAAACATGTGAGCTTAGAAGTAGATCCTTCTCTGTCAACGCCAGCCAAGACTTTGATTGCAGCTTTGTAAGACCATGAAGCAAAGGGCCCTGTTAAGTTGTGTGGCACTCCTAACCCACAGAAACTATAATATCATGAATGTGTGTTGTTTTAATTCACCACATTTATAGTAATATTGTTATATAACAATAGATAAATAATACCAGATATGGAATATGTACTTGCTGTAATGGCAGGTTTATCAAATGTACTGATCCTAGTTCCTGCGGAGGAGAAATAGTTAACTGTGCCTCTGAAGACAGGATTTCTAATTTTGCAGAGCCCACCAAAGTGGTAATACTCACTAAGATAAAAAAAAAAACTGATGCTTTACTTGGCTGTATATTTACCCATCTTACTATTGTGAAGTAGGCAGAGACCTGCTTCAGACATAGTTTCTCTTTTGCTCCCCTGTATTTTTTCTCCTCATAGGCCCCTCCATTCTGTCACAACTTAATTTCCCCAGGTTTTCTCTTTAGGTTAACAAAACAAAACACACTGTGTGTGCATGCCCTTTGTAAATTGCCCATTAAAGTAAATACTATTTAAATTAGTCTTGTCAGAACTTGGCCTGATAATTTCATGAATTCTGACTTTACCAAATATAAACTAATAGATAATCACAATTCAGCTATCGAAAAAAGGCATCATTAATTAGTCTGCATAGATAAAGCCATTTAAAAAAACAAAATTATTAACAGTGCACAAAATGTCAATTCTCAATGGCTGTCAAACTGGAATGTTTCAGAAACTGACAATCCACTGGGAAAAGGACTATCAAGGAGATAGACAAATATCTTTCTGCCTTTAACTTTAGTAAGCTTCTCATCATGGAGATATTTCCCCCCCCAAATTATAAAGCACATACAGTCCACCAATAGCAAGCTGATACAGGTATGCGTTGACTTAGAGATGATATGTCTATTTTATATTCCCATGAAAGCAGACACAGAATAATCAATAACATCAGAAAGAGCAGTTTACTTTATATGGAATGGAGGAAGGCCTTATACGAACAATGAAGTGAGCAAATGTATGAAAGTGTAAAAGGAGCAAGTTTTTTTTAATCAATAAATCTCTTTAAGTTTCCTTTATTGTGTCTTCCTTTTAAGTCAGCATATACACAAAATTGGAGTCGACAAGGTCTCATTTGCAGATGCAAAGTTGTTTTTGTGCATCAAATCTAATTTAACAAACATAGAAGCTAAGCCCTTTGAGAAGGAAGGAAGTCTCATCTACTTTCTGCTCAAGGATCCCTTCTCGAGAAAACAACCATTGATGAGACTGATCTTTTACCCTTATTTCATCCTTTGATCTAACTTTTTAAAGTTTGTTGCTTTCTTTGCTTATTTGGACACAATAGAAGGGGCAATCTCTGTAGTTAATTCCATGACATTTATAAATGTCAATTGGAATATTTCCAAAATGTAGTACTGTCAGTGTATGAGCACCTCATCCTGAAGTTTACATAAAATCTAAAGACATTCTCCCTCAAGTCAGTGTATGTGTTACACTGGACTTTTTGTTTGAAGACAGAAACACAGAGGCTGGCCACTCACTTTTGAGCGTAGGAAAGAAACAGCATTTAAAAATAAAAGCAGTTGTTACTAATCAACTAGACTAGCTCCTTCATTTTCTAGATGAGGAACAGGAAATTAAATATCTTATCCAAAGACACTCATCAACATAAGAGTAATGTGATGACAAGAACTTAAATCATAAACTTACACAGTGATGATTTGCAGTTTTCTAAGTTGAGTTTATCAAACCCAATCTTTAGGCCATAGGAGAGATTGAAAGAATGAGTTCATTGTTAAATAGAAGAGGAATAAATACTTGATCACTGATAGTTACCAAATACTTATGAAAGATATTAATTTGGGCAGTTCTATAATGAATAAATGAATGTATACATAAAATGCAAGAATGAATAGATGGATAACTGGATGGACAGCTGAGTGGGTAGATAGATGAATAGATGGATGGACAGATAAACGGATGCATGAATGAATGGATGGGTTGGTTGATACCCATCCTGCTTATGTGGGATGGGTGTGCTCATGTGATTCTCCAAAATTACTGAAGTTTTTCTTTCAGGTCAGCTTCACCAGGGACTAAAAATTCATTTACTGCCAGGATCTAATTAATTTTTAGTAACTCCTGTTCCCAACTTTCTGCAGGTAGAAAACTAAATGCCTGATAAAAGATCTTTATTCCCATGTCAGACACAATGGATTGAAAGGAAGAAAGACATTAAAGTATTAAAATGGATTTTTATTATTCAGTTTGAAATTCCTTCTTTGATTTCCCCAGCCTAAACATTAAGAATAAGAAACAGAGCTACTGGTAGGAATCAAGGAAATTCTGTGCATGGAAGTACCACTTTGCTAAGACAGCAAACAAGTTACAGCTACACTTCCCTTCAAGTGATAAAACTGCAATAAAGAAAGGATTTTTTGTTGTTCCTGTTTGGCAGTGGATTCATCCACAGATCTCTATACCCACAAGCATTCTTCACGGATACAAAATAAGACACACTATTTTAGAGGATAATCCCTTTCGCTGATAAAGCCCAGATTCAGATTTTTCTATTTCTAAGAGATGCATGTGATGGTGGATTCTGATGCCTATCCTGACATTGAGGAAGACAGGCTTATCATTTTATTGGGCTCTGCAACCTGGCTGGTACCATGCTAAAAAATAACTGTTGGGAAATAACAAGAAAGGAAAATCTATTTGCTTGTCCTACACATCACTGTGTCCTGTTCTCTAGAGGATTTGCAGGTGTGAAATTATTCCCCAGAGATACTCAAAAACATCAAACAGCACCTCTTTTAAAGGGAATCTGCAGAACCTTCTGAAATTCTTTACTAGCAAAATATAGAGATAGAGATTATTTTTTCTCCAGAGACAGATGGAATTTTTTTTCATTGACATTAGATACTTCCTTCTGCATTTTCCCTAATAGGTGATGAATTTTCAGATATTCATTATTCTCCTGGCCTCTTCCAAGTTACTTCTCTCAAGATTTATTCTCCTCAAACTCCTTAAAATAAGGAAATAACATTGTCATTTTGGGTCTTAGTTTGCATGGTAAGATAGGAAAAACAATGCCTACATCATGGAAAGGTGGTAATAGATTGCAAGCAAATGGCTCATCACAATGCCTGACATCTGGAAAATGCTCAGTAAATGAAAGCTGATATCAATAGCAATGAAATTCACCACTACCTCCTCGTCACTGCCATCACCCCTGTTGTTATCACCATCACCATCATTGTAAACTCAAGTTTATTCCATGATTTTTTCTAACTTAGAAACAGAAATATAAACCTTCTGTGAATAAAAAAAAGCTAAGTGGGATTTAAAATATTATTTTAAAGTATATTATTTACTTAGGAGTATCTATGACAAAAAATAAAGAACAAACAATTTTTGCTATGGATAAATCTATAGATTTTTGAACCATTAAAACCATACTATTATTCCATTGTATGCAATTCAGTGGCTGTCTGATCCCTAGCCATGAAATATATGCATTTCCTGTATATCACTCTAAGATTTTTTATGTTCCTATTTAAAAATGTATTATGGTGGAAACCTATATTACTATGAATAATTATAGCAGTTACCTAGATTAAAAACATAATTCTAGGTATAAATAAAATTATCTCCTTTTTTCAGAAAGTGAAAGTAAGAAAGTATTTAAGTATCTTTTATCAATATCAATATTTTCAGGATTCAGAAAATGTCAATAAACACAACTTTGACTGTAAAATGCAGCTTTTGCTTTGAGGAGGGATGTAAGCATTTGAGAATGTAATGACAAGTTGGAATCCAAACAAAAAGAGAACATGCACCCAGGTCCTCTGTCCAAATGAGCCCTTCTGACAAGAACAAGAAATATAGAGGGGAGAGGAAAAAAAAGTATGGAGGGAAATAGAAAAACACACACTCAATTTTGGTCTGTGGGAAAGACACTCCATTTTCACGGTGGCCCTCTTTAAGTTGCACTAGTTTCTGATATATTGGTAAGAAGTGTGATTTCTTTACAGCGGTAGAAGTCCCAGCGAAATAACCAGAAGACAAACATGTATTTCAATCTCACATAAGTATAAGGAGGAGAAGCAGGTCTCCTGGGAATGCTATATTTACTGAACAGTTAGTGAACTATGTATTGAGCAAAATTTAGAACTCAGCAGTCTCAACGGGTGTTTTATTTATTTTATCCACATAAGAAAATCTGTTCTAAAAGCGAAAGGTACTAGTTGCCTTCGTTTATTGAAGCATTAAGCCTTGATAAGTTCACTCAACAAATCAGTGTTTAATAACTATGGATTTTATGCCCTTGCATGGCATTGATTTTATAGCAGTGTAAAAGACAACTGTATCAGCTATCATATATACACTCTGTGAAAGTATACTAAATTCTCAAGGAAACAGTTTATACAGTAAGGCACTTAGTAATTTCCAAAACAGTAGTTCAAGGGGTGAGTATTCCTGAGTTTGTTCAATTCTTAAATCCTGTCTCCAAAGATCTAAGGTATTTTAATATTTTCAACATTCTCAGCTTTTGGTGATTTATTTTTAATAATCAGAAAATGTATAGCTCCAAGCATCCCATCCTCACACTACAATATTCAAAAACGGGGAGTGTCAGCCTTCCTGTGGGTCTGTCAGGGAAGAAAGAAAAAACTAACAGTTTTCTGTAATATGATTCCTCTTCCGGGCAGTCTTGCAAATTAATTGAATAGAGCATTTCTGAGCACTTCCATGTGCAATACTTTACCCAAGAATACAAAAATGTATAGGATTTTGTAGGCTATGGTAAAGAGTTTTAATTTTATTTCATATAGAGTGTAGACTTCTTAGATAGGTGTGTCAAACACCCACTTTGGCTGCGATATCTGCTAGAAATTTTCACTTAGAGCATTTAATTTCTTATATTTCCCAGTGAATGCATCTCCTCCCACCTACCTCCTCCATTGCTTATGAAACTCCAGCCATGCCAGCGTTTCTGTGATTGCTAGAAGACACCAAGGGAGTCCCAAATGTGGAAATTTTACACTAGCTGGACCTTCTTTCTGCAAAGTGTTTTCATAGATATTGTGGCTGACTCCTCAGAATTCTGATCTCAGCCACAAAGTCACCCCCTAAGTGATGGAGACTTTTCAGAAAGCCCAGATAAAATATATACATTCCTTACATCTTAACATCTTAAACATGAATAAGCCAACCTCTGTGACCTGCTCAAGATCATACAGCTCGTGAGCCTAAATCTCCTTGCTCATTTCATTGTCCTATGTACTTTTATGAGAGATTATGTAAAAAACCATGTTGTTTCTTGTGTGTCTCTGTTCCTTATTCCTGCTTGAGTCTCTTTGTAGTAATGTCACTTCTGAAATGAGTTAACTTATTTGTTCAATTCTTTGATGTATGCTTCACCAGTTACAATGCAATCTTCGTGGAGATTGGAATGATGTTGATCTGGGTCTTGTTTATTGTTGTATTTTTGTCCCCAAAACAATGGTGACAGCAGGTTCTAAATACTTTTTTGACAAAGGACTATATACATAAATTATTCTGAAATGGGTTTAAATCAGAAAATGCTGTGGAAGTAAAAAGGCATTATTTCTTTTAGTCTACCAAGGCTTTCTACAGGTGTTCAAATCCTAGCAACTTCTGTCTGCATTACTGCACCTGACTACAATTTTATCTGGTTCTGCATTTTTTTCTTATTATTTTGCTTTTAGAGGTTCAGGCAGAGACTTGTTCTTCTCCAGAAAATAGGAAGTTTCTTTGGCATCCTTTTTTTTTAAATTTTAATTTTTTCAGGTAATGTTAACCTACCTACTTCTGCAAAAACAGAGATAAAACTTGCTTTACCGATGATGGAGTAAGTAGCTATGTGAAAATATTTCTAGAATAGAGTACCCACCACTCCCTGAGCTTAAAACCACTGTGTTTTCTCTACCGTCATCGAGTTTATCTGTGCTGAACTGTTATTCTCTGTGGCCAAAATATGGCCCCCCCAAAAACTATTTTCTTTTAAAACAGTATTTTTGAAATTGGCAAATTGTGAAATGATTAACACTCAAATTTGAACCACTGTATTTGTCAATTTATTTGCTAAGTTATCTAAACAGACCCAGAGAGAAGAATGTTGTAGAACTCAGCTGGGAAGTCAGTCCACTGAAGTGGGGGTGAATAGATGTGAAGATGTGATGAAGAAAACCTAGTGGGAAATCTGGAATTTTCACATATGAAACTTGTATGCATTTTATATAGCAGGCACCAAATTATTTCTCAATTTGCATGTTAATTTCCAATGTTTTAAGATGGAGAAACTTAAATAGATTTTAAGAGATACAAGACTAAAAGAGACTTCTCCCTCCCTACAATGTGATCCTGTTGTCACACCTCCCCTATTTCAAAATCTACCTCCTGCTAGGCCTGTATGGTGGGTTGAAAAGTTTAAATGGTTGTAAATACCTGTAAAACAAAGGGAAAGACTCTGAAGATTTGACATGTGCAGTGTACGAGTCTCTATTTAAAGAAACTGAACAGTAGCTGAAATTAACCTAGAAGGTGCCTTTTCTTATTTGGAGACGTTTAGGGAGCTCGTGTTCCCAAAACCAATCCCAACGTGACACCTAGTGGCGGCTCTAGGTTTAACCCTTCAGGTTCTGATAGAAATACCCATTCTACAAGGTTTTCAAAACCCTTGGTCCTGGTAGCTCTAATTTCACTTCTGTGGGAGCAAAGCTCATTTATTTTATAGGAAAAATAAACTACTAGAACAGAGTCTTTAAAGAAAAGTGTTAAACCATAGTTTTGAAGATGTGGCCCAAGCTACCGTTTTTCCTGATGTGTGAATTGTCTCCTGAGAATCTGTGAGGAATCTTCCCCATCCCCACCAAATATCTGCCTGTTTACAAATTTAAAGATCTGAAGCCCTTTCTTTGGTATTCTAAATAATATTTTTGACACTTTAATAGGTGATAAACATCTCAGAAGATTTTACATAGATTTTCTTTTAAAGATTTTAGCATTGGCATTTTTTTGGAAAAATGTTATTCAAAAATATCTATACAAAAATGAGCCACATTGGTTATGTTTGCTTACATGCATTTTTAGGGGAGTTCTAAACTGGATTTCTGCAAGCACCCAGGATGCTTTTGGCTGCTCTACACACACACACATACACACACACAAACACACACACACACACACACACACAAGTCCAGCAAATGCAGTGTAGTTTTTAGGGAAAAGTGGAAAGTAAAGTTTAGTTTTGACCATCAGTCCTCCTAGGAGCCTCCTTGCCTCACTCGTAATGCCTCATTATTTTACTCCCTGCCCCACCTCCAGAACTTATTGATGTCCTCTTTGGAACACCGGCTCTTCCTTGACTGGACAATGTCCAGTTCTTTATTTTCTCTCTGATAAACTAGACAGCACTAGTAGGCTGATGGAAAGCCCCCAAATACTAAGTTTAGAGTAGAGATGGTCTTGTCCAAATGGGTTTCTGCTAACATTGACTCAACTTTTTCTGTTTGATGCACAGAGGAGGATTTCGGGAAATGATTTGGATTTCTCATCATCTCTGCATTATGTACCCACATAGAATCAATAGCAGCTCATCAATTTAAAAGGGGAGTTAATTCAGCTGCTCCATCCAAAGTTTAACCCCAAACCTGAAGCTCTTTTTGTATTAACTACATAAATATTCTCTTTTATTATCTGTCATTTATTGAGTATTCTCTATATATCAGACCTAGCACTAAATCACTTTACATACATTATCTTAGGAATCTTTACATGAGCCCTAAAATAAAGAAAACTCTTTTATTCTCATTTTAGTTAAAACACAAGTGAGGTTCAGTGATTTGCTAAATATCCTTCTGCTTGTAAATAACAGAGCCGACATTGCCGTGTTTTTTGGCTCTAATGCTTTTGGAATGAGCCTCTCTTCAAATATTAAGGATTTTGAAGTGCCAAGTTCATGCTATAAAGACAAAATTTCCCCAAACAACTATTTAACAATAAACTAGGTCTCTCAGAGACCCCTTTGAAAACCGATTTTTTTTTTTTTTTGAGACACAGTCTCGCTCTTTCACCCAGGCTAGAGTGCAGTGGCATGATCTCAGCTCTCTGCAACCTCCGCCTCCCGGGTCCAAGCGATTCTCCTGCCTCAACCTCCTGAGTAGCTGGGATTACAGGCATGTGCCACCATATCCAGCTAATTTTTGTATTTTTAGTAGAGACGGGGTTTCACCATGTTGGTCAGGCTGGTCTTGAACTCCTGACCTCAGGTGATCCACCCGCCTCAGCCTCCCAAGGTGCTGGGATAACAGGCGTGAGCCACTGTGCCCGGTCAAAAACTGATTTCTTTCTTCAGTTTCTTGGGCTGTGTTCATCATGGAAGGTCTTATTCCTTCAGTCCACATTTACTGTTTTATCTGTCATTCACCCTGTTTTCTTGAGGCTAGGAAATAGACACTTGGACAGACAAAATGGATGATTCAGTCTATTTAGATTTCATTCTAAGGTTCTGTTGAGGGCCCTATAACAGAAATCTAGACCATACTGAATATAAATCCTTTCATTTTCACAATCTCATCCAAGATGCTGAGGAGAAGGCAGTTGCTTTGGTAACAAGAATTCAAATACTGGACCGTTTTAAATGTAGAATTATAATTATAAGCCTGAAATTTTTCTTGGAAGTTAAGAGGAAGCAATTTTTTTCTAAAGCTATTGGTTTTAGATGACTAACATTTAAAATAAATTGCAAACTTTATTTTGATACATGCAAGAGTCCCTGCATCCCACATTCTAAGACCCAGAGTCTGTGGACTTAGCTACTGCCATTGAGAGAGATTATAGTGGTTAAATATAAAGGTTCTGAAGCCAGATTGTCTGATTACAATCTTAGCTCTACGAATTTGTGGGTTACCTTGAACACCACAACTGACCTCTCTGTGCCTCAGTTTTGTTTTGTTTTGTATCTGTGGAATGTGAGCATCTAATGACCTAATATATAGACAGTCTTTAGAATGGTTTGGAATAAAGTAAGCAATCAAAGTTTAATATCAGTGTTACTAGAGCAGAGAAGATATCTGTATATAAAACATTCACAGCCCAAAATGTCTGCCCTTTAAGACAGCCTATGGGAGCCTGTCTTCTGGAAAATCGCTGACAGGTGATGTTTATGAAAAGTAGAAGGTATTTCACCAGACACATCTTGTTTTTTCTTCTTTTTCTTTCTCTTTGTGAAACAGCCACATGCAATTGTCAGATCAGAATAAGACCTCATTTTTTTTTCTCCAGATTATAGATGGCAAAACTAAAATAGGTCCTCTTGAAATAATATTTTTGAGTGTCCAACTGGTGGAGACAGGAAAAGCAATTTGAGTAAGACAAGAGCCTTCAAGAACAGATTTGGAGACAGAGTATTATCCTGGCCTTCTAAAAATAGAAGAGCCATGATGTATACTGCAAGGAATTAAGATTATCCACACAAGCATTTTATTGTTCAGTGACAGAGGAAATAATGAAATATATAAGGCAGAGATGGCCCTGACAAATCTCAGCTTGGCACCAGCCTACTGAAACCAGCATAATCTGGACTGGGCACCATATCTTGCTTTGAACAGTTAACCTCTTGGGTGTGGTATGATTGTGGCAGAAGCAACTTTCTGCTAAAATCCTTACACAGTGAACAGTCACCAGCCAGCCCAGCACTTACCTAATGTACAAGCCCAGAGATTGTCAGTCAGGCAACATGACTTAGATAGAGACACTGCTTTTTTCCTATGGGAAAGAAACAGTTCTCAGGCTCATGGCTTTAAAAGACTAACTCTATATTTCTTCTGAAGAAGTCCACTCCTAGAGTCAGACTCTGGCTGTCAGTAGAACTTTTTCATTCTGTGCTTAATCTTTATTTATATTTCCTTTAATAATGCTAAAATATATTGAGCTCCTTATATGTTATCATTTTTTTCCTTTTTGCCTTTCTTTCTTTCTTTCTTCCAGTGATATTCATTGAGCATTTACTATGTGCCAGGCACTATGGAATATAATGATGTAAAATTTGGACAATATTGTACCTTCAAAATGTCAGTGAAGAGAAGCAATACACAAGTAACCAGATACATAAACAAGATGATTGTAAGGTTTGACATGTATTAAAGGGGTGAGATATGAGGCAGATCATCCTGGAGTGTTGCCCACTTTAGATGAGATAGTAAGAAGTGGTTTTTTTGAGGAGATGATTTTGAATAAAGACTTACAGTCTAAAAAGGATCACCAACCCTTTGGAGATCCCAGGTAAAAATGTTTGGTAATTGTAAATGTATACAAAATCCCTGAATATATCCAAAGGCCCTGAGGTGGGAAAGGGCTTGGGATGATCCAGGAACATAAAAAAAGTAAGTGTGACTGGAACAGAATGAACAAAGGAGTAGGGATTAGGGATAAGCTGGAGATTCAAACATGGATAGATCATACAGAGCTATATAAACTATGATGATGAGATTGATACTTATTTCAAAAATGATAGAAAACCAATGAACATATTAAGCAAGGCAATAGCATGAGTCAATTTATATTTTTCTCTGATTATTGCATGGAGAATGTGCTGTTAAATGGGTAAGAATGGAAACTGTAACACCAACTTGGGGGCTCCTGAAATCTTCAAGGCAGGAGACAGCAGTGGCTTGTAGAAGGTCATTGTACTGAACCATTATACCAGATAAACAAAGGAGATATCAGATTTTCCCCCTTTTAGAAATGAGTTAACAAAGGCTACCAGTGATTGTAGCTTCTAAATCACAGAGTCAATACCCTCAAACTTGGACAAACGTGGCTCAGAGATAAATTTGTTTGTTTGTTTTTCCCAGTAGACTCTCAGACTACTGCCTCTTCAGTGGGTTTGGCAAAAAGAAAAACAAACAAACAACAAACAAAAAAAACTTATAATAACCTTCAGGAATTCCTAACACTTAAGTGATGCTTGCTATGGACCCAGGAGTACTCCAAGGGTTTCCAGTACATTAGCAAACTTAACTTTCATAACAACTCTGTGAAGTAGATTCTATTATTATCCTCCTTTTACAGATGAGTAATCTGAGTCTTAGAGAAATTAAACTATTTAATAGTAAATGTCAAAGGCAGAATTTAAACCAAGCAAGTTAGCACTGGAAACACTAAACCATGCATTTTACTACTAAGCTTTTTAAGAAAAAAACTCCTTAGCTGGCCAGTGTTTCTACACTGAAGTAGTATACTATAGATATGTCAAGGAAAACCATCACCGTTAACCCCCTTCAACTTCCAATTGAGATAAGAATTTATATACAACATAGAAAAGCTTTTTATGACAATTTCATAAAAATGCTAAAGATTAGGTAGGGCTTCCCACACACTTCAGATGAGAACAAGGAAACATTTCTAAAAGAAAGTGAACAAAAGATTTATTTTTTTAACTACTCTCAAGTCTGAGAATCAACATTTCCACCAGGTTGGCTTTTTCTAATACAAATGTAAGAGGAGACAGATTGAAATGCCAAACTGAATTGCTCAGTGTTTTAGAAAAAGCTGTTTCTCACAGGCAGCCTCAACTCAAAACACATAGGATATCTTCTGAAAAATTTCAAAATGTTGGGTTGCGGAGTTCTAAAATTAATCAAAAAAGTCTAATATTCCAACACAAGAGTGACCTACAAAAAGCCTCCTTCATTTTCTGTTAGGGCTCTTGCAGCATCCTCTGAAAGCTCAAAAAAATCACCTTGAAGAGCTGTAACTTTGCTCACAGCTTTCCTCCTGTATCTACTGTGACCTTAACCACTTGCTTTAGAATTATTCTGCTATTTTCAAATGCCCTTTGAGTGCCCCAGGCCCTACCACTTTGACATGCAAAATTTAGCTAATGTAGGCTTTGCAAGGACACAGTTTTGAATCCCTTGCTCCAAAGCCTGAGGATCTTAGTGTATCAGAGAGAAGACAAACAGACATAGACCTCAGGTTTTTCCATCTTCTTTAACTGTTACTGCTAATAATACTTATGGACTATTTGGGGGTTTCCCTGTATAATCTCAATCCTCATAACCAAGGAGAATACTGTCATTGTCACCACCATTTATCCTAAGAATGTTAACGTAATGTAATAAGATGAGAACAGAATTAGAACCCTAGCTGTCTGACTCTAGAGCTTTTCCTATTATCTTATACCTACATTATAAGTATATATGATGCTATACACTATATATATATTTTTCTGCTATAGTATATAGTATAATGTATAGATTAGCAAAAAGTATAATGTATAGCATGTATTCCTTATAAGCATATTTAATATGCTTAAAATGCCAGTACCCAGTCCTCCTTTCTTCTTCCCAAAAGGATCCACAACATTCTATGCATTATTGTTTCAGTCAAAGGAGCCTAAAGGACTTAAGACTGTGGTTTTCAATTCTGGTTGCCAATTTACAATCACATGGGGAGATTTTAAAAAGTTGATATGCCCTGTCCTAGCCTGGAAGACTCTGATTTCCATGTTCTGGGGTAATGTCTGGACATCAGTCTTTTTTTAAAAGTTCCTCTCTCCCTCTCCCCTTAGTCATTATAAAGATCCAGGGGGCTGAAAAACAGTTGCTCTGAGCCAATTAGTGTAATCTCATCTATTATAAACTGAATATCTTCCCCACCCAGAAATTCATTTATTGAAACTCTAACCCCTGAAGTGTTTATGGAGATAATGGCTTTAAGGAGGCAATTAAGGCTAAATGAAGTCAAAAGAGTAGGGCCTTAATTTCAAAGGACTAGTGTCTTTATAAGAAGAGGAATAGACACAAAAGATCTCTCCCTCCCACCCATCTCCTCCACTGCCACTTTCCCTCTCCCTCTCTTTTTCCCTCTCCCTCTTGATTTTTCTCTGTGCATGCACAAAGCAAAGGCCCTGTGTGAAAACACCTGGAAGACAGCAAGCCAAGAAGTGAGGCTTCACCTGAAACTATTCCTGCTCCTACCGTGATCTTGGACTTCCAGCTTTGAGAGCTGTGAGAAAATACATTTCTGTTGTTTAATCCACCCACTCTGTAGTATTTTGTTTTGGCAGCCTCAGCAGGCTAATATAGATTTTAGTACTGTGAAGTGGGGTGCTGATTTAACAAATACCCAAAAGTGTAGAAGTGGCTTTGACCCTGGGTGGGGGGTAAAAGCTGGGAGAAATTTGAAGTCCAGGCTAGTAAAAGCCTAGATTGTCTTAAGAGACCAGTAGCAGAAATATGTACATTAAGGTGATTTTGGTGAGTGCTCAGCATGAAAAGAGGAGAGCTGGAGAGAAAGTATCACCTTAGAGAAGACATGTATCACTAGGAACAGAATGTTGGTAGAAATATGAACATTAAAGGTGCTTCTGGGAGGTCTCAGACACAAATCAGGAACATGCTGTTAGGAACTGGAAAGAAGGCAATCATGTGATAAAGTGGCAAAGAATTTGGCTAAATTGTGTTCTAGTGTTTTGTGGAAGGTGGGACTTGTGAGTGATAAAATTGGTTATTTAGTTGAGATTTCATAAAATTGTTGAAGTTACGGCTTAGTTTTCTTTTACTGCTTATAGTAAAATGAGAGCGGAAAGAGATAGATTGAAGAAGTTATTTAGCAAAAAGAAAACAGGACTTGAAGATTTGAATAATTCTCTGCCTGTGCATGTTGCCAAAAAATGAGAAAGTGTGCTCTGGATGAAACACATAGGATGAGGCTGGACAATTCATAAATCACTCTCTAAAGGATTACCCACAGAATTTAATCAGCTGTCTTAACTGAAGACAGAAATAGCAATGGGATTATACCAGCAGAAATACTTCCCACAGGGGCTATCAGGAGTAGAAACAATGCAACAGAATAAAAGAAAGCTGTCAGGCCTCAGAGATCCTACAGGATGGGACAACAGGGCTACCTGATTGGGAACATGTGCTTCTCTACAAGAAAATAGAAGAATGGTCCCAAAGACAATTCAGAGATCATCTGGGCTGCTATTCCTACCATAAACCAAGCAGACAAGTCTGTTTTCTCCTCAGCTTCAGAGGATGGAGCCACCTCCTTGGTTTTAGTGGGCCAGGATGACGCACTGGCCAGTGCCTCAAGGACAAGGCCACTGCTCAGGGTCCTGGGGGTAGGGCACCCCACAGAACTGAGGGTGCAGGGTCACCATGGAGAGCTGAGAAGGTGGGGCTGCTGCAACCCCCGTGGGTTTGGAGTGCAGAGAGGCCAGCCAGAGAGGATTATTCTCAAGCCTTAAGAGCAAACGAACAGACATAGGGGCCTATTTGAAGGGGAAAGGTGGGAGGAGGAAGAGGTTCAGAAAGAAAAAAAAAAAAACCCGTTAGGTACTAAGCATAGTGTTTTGGTGATGATAATCTGTACACTAAACCGCTGAGTCACAAGTTTACCTATATAACCAACCTGCACATGTATCCCTGAACCTAAAATAAAAGTTAAAATATTAAATATATACTAATATTAAATATACATAAATATTAAATATATATTAATTATTTGTAAAGATCAAATGAAATTTGCCTTGCTAGATTTTTGACTTGTTTGGGACCTGCCACCCTTTCTTCTTTCTGATTTCTCCCTTTGGGAATGTGATTGTCTAAATTATTCCAGTCTCACCGTTGTATTTTAGAAGCACAAAACCCGTAGTTTCACAGGTTCACAGTAGGAGAGGATTATTAGTATGAATCATACCTCAGGTCTAATATATATTTGATTTAGATAAGATTTTGGATTTAGAATTAGCTGGGCGCCTGTAATCCCAGCTACTCGGGAAGCTGAGGCAGGGGAATCCCTTGAACCTGGGAGGCTGAGGTTGCAGTGAGCTGAGATTGCACCACTGCACTCCAGCCTGGGCAACAGAGTGAGACTCTGTCTCAAAAAAAAAAAAAAATTAAAGAGAAAAAAAGACTTTGGATTTGGAATTGATGCTAGAATGGAACAAGACTTTTTGGACTGTTGGGAGGGGGTGAATGTATTTTGCATGCAAGAGGAGCATAAATTCTGGGACGACAGAAGGTAAAATGTTTTGGACTGAATTGCGTCCTCCCAGAATTCATGTATTGAAGCCTTAACCCACAATATGACTATATCTAGTAATAGGGTTTAAAAGGGGGTAATTAAGGTTAAAAGTTGTCTTAAGAGTGGGGCTTCAATCAGATAGGACTCGTGTCACTGTAGGGAGACTAAGAGACACCAGATATTCTCTCTCTCTCTGCATGCACATAGAGGAAACGCCACGTGAGGATTCAGTGAGGAAGCAGGTGTCTGCAAGCCAGAAAGAGAGGCCTCACTTGAAACCAACCCTGTTGGCACCTTGGTTTTTGATTTCCAGCCTCCAGAACTGTGAGAATATAAATAAATTTCTGTTAAGCCACCCAGTCTGTGGTATTTTGTTACAGTAGCCCAAGGAGACAAACACCAACCCATAGTACCATTATAACTGATATGGTTTGAGTGTGTCTTCACCCAAATCTCATCTTGAATTGTAGCTCTCATAATTCCCACATGTTGTGGGAGGGACCTGTGGGAGATAACTGAATCATGGGGGCGGTTTTCCCCATACTGTTCTCCTGGTCTTGAATAAGTCTCGCGAGATCTGATGGTTTTACAAGGGTTTTCTCCTTTCGTTTGCCTCTCATCCTCTCTTGCCTGCCACCATGTAAGACATGGCTTTCTCTTTCTGCCATGATTGTGAGCCCTCCCCAGCCACACTGAACTGTGAGTCCATTAAACCTCTTTTTCTTTATAAATTACCCAGTCTTGGGTATGTCTTTATCAACAGCATGAAAATGGACTAATACAATGATCCTTTGGTCATAATGGTTATTGTGGGCCATGGCTTGGTAAAGATATCTAGTACCTGAATATGAACATAAGGCTCTAAATCCAGATATTGTCGGCATCTATTTCTCTGCCCTTCAATAAACTAGCCTAAGAACAGAGCCAAAACAGAAGCCAAAGAGCTTCAAAGTCTGTGGAAAGAAACTGAACTTCACAGTTTATCATTCACATACATTTAAATCAGCAGTCCCCAATCTTTTTGGTACCAGGGACTGATTTCAGGGAAGGTAATTCTTCCACTGATGGGGGTTGGGAGTGGATGGTTTGGGGATAAAACTGCTTCACCTCAGATCATTGGGCATTAGTTAGAGTCTCATAAGGAGCATGCAACCTAGATCCCTCACATATGCAGTTCACAGTACGGTTGGCCCTCCTATAAGAATCTAATGGCACAGCTGATCTGACAGGAGGCAGAGCTCTGGCAGCAATGCTCACTTGCCTGTCACACACCTCCTGCTGTGCGGCCTAGTTCCTAACAGGCCATGAACCAGTACAAGTCTGTGGCCCCAGGAGTTGGGGCCCCCTGGTTTAAATGATAGAAAGAAGCTATATTTAGAAAAGACTGGAGATGGTATTCTAATAAGAGGAGTTATAAAATTTTTATGAATTACTCCATGGCAGGGTGAAGAGCAGACTGCCATCATCCCCTAGTGAATGCTATGGAATCCATACAATCTCCCCAATTGCAAAGAGGCCAACTAATCTTTTTTTATTCATTTATTTTTATTTTTGTATTATACTTTAAGTTCTAGGGTACATGTGCACAACTTGCAGGTTTGTTATATATGTATACACGTGCCATGTTGGTGTGCTTCACCCATTAACTCATCGTTTACATTAGGTATGTCTCCTAATGCTATCCCTCCCCCTGCCCCCCATCCCACAACAGGCCCCAGTGTGTGATGTTCCCCTTCCTGTATCCAAGTGTTCTCATTGTTCAATTCCCACCTATGTGTGAGAACATGCAGTGTTTGGTTTTTTGTCCTTGTGATAGTTGGCTGAGAATGATGGTTTCCAGCTTCACCCGTGTCCCTACAAAGGACATGAAGTCATCATTTTATTATGGCTGCATAGTATTCCATGGTGTATATGTGCCACATTTTCTTAATCCAGTCTATGATTGTTGGATATTTGGGTTGGTTCCAAGTCTTTGCTATTGTGAGTAGAGCCGCAATAAACATACGTGCTCATGTGTCTTTATAGCAGCATGATTTATATTCCTTTGGGTATATACCCAGTAATGGGATGGCTGGGTCAAATGGTATTTCTAGTTCTAGATCCCTGAGGAACCGCCACACTATCTTCCACAATGGTTGAACTAGTTTACAGTCCCACCAACAGTGTAAAAGTGTTCCTATTTCTCCACATCCTCTCCAGCACCTGTTATTTCCTGACTTTTTAATGATCGAGGCCAACTAATCTTTATATTTTTGTTTGTTTAGTTTATTTAAGATGTATACAAAGTGTGTGACTGTGAGGAGTGGAGGGGAATGGGGAAGAAGTTATAAGGTCCTGGCATCAGAGACAATATTGAAAGTTTGAAGAAGGCATAGTCTTCCTTTTCACAACAACTTTTTTTCCTAATCAATATTATTTTTATCTTGGGCTTTCCCAGTGAGCTATATAATGTTTTGAAAATACGTGTAAAGAAAATAAAATGTAAAGATAGCTACTGTGTTAAGAAATTAATCAAGGCTGCAAGACAGTGATGATTCAACTTTCATAACAAAAGGTAAAGCTGAATATCTTTCCAATAATCTGATTATGCTTAAACACAACACCTTTTAAAATTGCTTTTTGCTTCAACTTCTGTTTTTAAGTTCAGGGGTACATGTGCATGATGTGCAGGTTTGTTACATAGGTAAACATGTGCCATGGCATGTGCCATGGTGGTTTGCTGCACAGATCAATCCATCGCTTAGGTATTAAGCTCAGCATACATTAGCTAGTCTTTCTGATGTTCTCCTTCTTCCCACCCCTCCCCTCAACAGGCCCCAGTGTGTCCATGTGTTCTCACCATTCAGCTCCCACTTATAAGTGAGAACATCCAGTGTTTGGTTTCCTGTCCCTGCAGTACTTTGCTGAGAATAATAGCTTCCATTTATCGAAGCTCCACTTATGTCCCTGCAAAGGACATGATATTGAGCTCCATTTATGTCCCTGCAAAGGACATGATCTCATTCCTTTTCATGGCTGCATAGTATTCCATGGTGTATATATGTGCCACATTTTCTTCATCTAGTCTATTACTGATGGGCATTTAGGTTGATTCCATGTACCTAACACATTGAAACACATGGCTAAGGTAAATCGTAAAGGCTTTAAAAAGTTGTTACACTGAATTCAATCTTTGTTCTGCTAAGAAGTAGGTTTATGACCTGGGACCTTTTGTTTCCTTCTCTGTGTAATAAAGGTAATAAAGTTTGCCTCCTATGATTTTTGGAGGATTAAATATGCTAACATATTAGAAGTTTCTACAATAGTGCTAGAATAGGGGCATCATGAAAGTTATTTGATTTTCTTACTTCCTTTCTCAGTTCTTGTGTTTATACTTTGGTTACTAAAAAGTTAAAATCACTCTGAATGTCAATTCCCACATGTTATAAACTAAACAGTATAAACATTTCTAATAGGTTTATTATGGGGTATATGTTAATTACTCCATGAAATGATGTGATAATATAACAAGTCCTATGATCATATTTATTTTGTGTAAAATTATGCGGAGAAATGGACATTAATGCCCACCTGGGGACCTTTTCTCAGACAAACGTCTTCCTTTTATAAGTAGCTGTGGGGCTGAAGAGATGAAAAGTGACAGAAAAAGTGTTAGCAAACTCGTTTTAATGTACTTTAAGCATCCATCACTAACCAACAGGTAATATAACTGTATGTCTAGGTTTACTCGTTGAATCTTCTCTACCACATAGTGAATGGGTCACAGCAAAAGATTTAGTGCTACAAATTTAGAGTGATCACATTACGTTTTTTGAGCAGGAAAGTTTCTAGCTCTCAAACTTATACAAGATTAAATCATAACAGACATCACATGTTAGAGAGTTGATAGATCCATGCATGTTATAACAGATAAAGTGCAGGGTAAATATGCACTTCCATACACACACTCAGCACCCTTTACATTTATCTTCTCTTTGAATTACTCCAGGGCTATCCCAACATCCTTAATGAAATCAGACATAGACTGAATTACATTCTTTTAAAACTGGAACAATCACACATCAACTTACATTAAGTTCCTTCCTTGCAGATCCAACTGGTGCAATATAGAACTCACATTTTGACCTCCATTTGTTATTCTCATTTGTTCATTCTGCTATAAATTTGATTTGATCTCATTATAATATCCTTTAAAGTACTAAATCTTTCATTAGTAAAAAGACACATGAAGCTTTTGAACTAAGCTGTTTTCCCATTTTCCTATTCTGGTCTGTCAGAATTTGTCATCTGCAAGTCTGTGAAATACTTGCCTGCCATATTTAGCTAGGAGAAGCCTTGAAATCTGTTTTCAATCAGAAAAATATGGACAGCCACACTTCCCTCCAAATAAGAAGAATATGAAGGACATCTTCAATCACCATTGGCAGTCTACTCAGAATGAGTTATGACAACAGCAGTGACCCAAGTGAGAAGAAAATAACCTCTACTGTTGCCAGGCTGCCAGGTGCTAGTGACTCCCTGAAGTACACTTCCAGGTCCTAGAAAACTGATCAGATGTGTGTCAATGGCCACAAACACCTTGCCTGGTTCTTAAACAATAAAAATGAAAAAGAGAAAAAACGTATAACAATGGCTGGCAACTACCTACACTTAAAAATATAAATGCAGGCGCGATGGCTCACGCCTGTAATCCTAGCATTTTGGGAGGCCAAGGCGGGTGGATCACGAGGTCAGGAGATCGAGACTAACCTGGCTAACACCGTGAAACCCCGTCTCTACTAAAAATACAAAAAAAAAAAAAAAAAAAAAAAAATTAGCCGGGCGTGGTGGCGGGCGCCTGTAGTCCCAGCTACTCGGCAGGCTGAGGCAGGAGAATGGCTTAAACCCAGGAGGAGGAGCTTGCAGTGAGCCGAGATCACGCCACTGCACTCCAGCCTGGGCGACAGAGCCAGACTCCATCTCAAAAATAAAATATATATATATATATACACACATATATATATGTGTGTATATATATGTGTGTGTGTATATATATATTATATATATGTATATATAAATAAATGCTTAAGTAAATTGTGGTTCACTTAGCTAAAATATACTCTGAAGTCATTAAAAATAGAAATGTTTATAAAGAATGTTTAACATGAAGAGCTTATGATGAATTGTTTAGTCATAATTTTCCCCTTCATTTCCTATGTTCATTCTCAATTTCTATTTTTTATTCATGTATATATATATATATATATATATATCACATTTTGTATAACAGGTTTACTGAGATATAATTTATATGCAAAAAAATCACACTTTCTAAGTGTAAAGTTCAGTGGTTTTTAGTAACTTTACAGAATTGTGCAATAATCACCCATATCTAATTTTAGAACATACTATCAATTGAAAAAAATTTTTTAAAAAACTGGCCAGGAGTAGTGGCTCACGTCTGTAACCCCAGCACGTTGGGAGGCCAAGGTGGGTGGATCACCTGAGGTCATAAATTCAAGACCAGCCTGGCCAACATGGTGAAACCCTGCCTCTACTAAAAATACAAAAAGTAGCTGGACGTGGTGGTGCACGCCTGTGATCCCAGCTACTCGGGAGGCTGAGGCACAAGAATTGCTTGAACCCATGAGCAGAAGGTTGCAGTGAGCTGAGATCATACCACTGCACTCCAGCCTGGGTGACAGAGTGCAATTCCATCTCAAAAAAAAAAAAAAAAAAAAAAATTCCATCCACATTGACGATGTTTCCACAATCTCCTTGGCTCCTAACCCTGAAAACCACTAATCTACTTTTTTATTTCTGTGAATTTACCTATGTTTGGCATTTCTTACAAATGGAATAATAATATGTAGCCTTTTGTCTCTGGCTTCTTTCACTGAGTATAATATTTTTACATTTGATCCATGCTATAGCCTGTATCAGTACTTTCTATTGTATAGATGTATCATATTTTGTATATCCATTCATCTCTCGATAGAAATTTGAGTTATTTCCACTTTGGGGCTATTATAAATGATGCTGCCATAAACATTTATGTATAAGTTTTTGTGTGGACCTATGTTTTCATTTTGGGGGACATATGCTTAGGAGTAGAATGCCTGGCCTATGCTAACTCTACATTTAACATTTTGAGGAACTGCTGAACTGCTTTCCAAAGTGGCTGCTTCGTTCTCAAGCCTACCTCGTATGCAGTTGAAACAAAGCACACACATACACAAACACAAAACCTTATTTAATAAAGGTTTCTTACATTACCTAATTTTGGCACACTGTAACTGTGAAGGCTACAGATATTTTACCTTCTTAAAGAAGCAAATGTCTGAGCTATGACATTGCCCTTTTATTGCAGCAAGACTTAGTCCTTGCAACTGTTGCAACTGTTCATTTTAAAACAGGCTCATTTACCCATCACCATTGTAAATTTAAACAAAATTGAAGAACAGAGAAAGATCTGAAACATTACAGGGAATTTAGGACACAGACACAATAGAGCGGTGAGTGGATAAGTGAAATGACCGCTATGCAATCAACATTAACTTTGCATTTTAATGTCAAGAAAGAAAAACGACATTGAGATAAACAACTTTGAGAACAGTAAATGTCCCAAATTAAGAGTTTAAAAATAGACTTCAGGATAAAAATGACATTTTTCTCTTTAATTACATTCTTAAGTAAAAAAAAAAAAAAAGGTAGGTAGAAACTGAAAATAGATTTCACTAACTGCTAGCTTTTCTAACAGCCCAGTGTGTGAAAATCCAGCTGTTCTTTTCTGCTTCATACATAGCAGCAACAATGGTAAAGACGATGCCTTCCTTATTTGCTGACAGTTGTGTTGATGATGCAGGAGGCAAAATAGCATTTCTCTTCTGGGCAATGTTAATTATGGAGTGCTGACAGGAGTTCAAAAATAAATCCAGATTCTTCAAGTTAATGCCCCACATCAATATAGTGTGAAAAATATAATACACTGACAAGTATGAGAAAAGTGTAGATTTTGCATGATCTCCTCTTTCTCAATAAGTAAAAAGATTCAGAGTGAATTCAAAAACTAAAAATAATAAACTATAAAAGAAAAACAATTTAGATACCTATCTATGTTTTTAATTTATATTGCTCACTTGATTCTTTAAAGCTGAAAGAATATTCAAACTTATGCTCTTTTTTTTAGATGATATGACCAAGGCTCTGAGAGATTAAAAGAAACGGGTCATGAGTGGAAGAATACAAATTTTATTCCAGATTTTTATCTCTTCATCTGATACTACAACATCCCTATTTTTCAGGCCAAATTTCTGAACACAGCCCATCAATTTTAAAATGATTTATATGGACAGTGAGTTTGGATTTCCAAAATTTTGGCCATATAATGAATGGACTATAACAACACCGCGTAGTTCTTCAGACAGTGCCCATGTTCTGTTAGAAATTACTTAATGACACTAACTTAAAATGGAACACTTGAATTTTCTTTCTAGTATTTAGCAACTATCTGGTAACTATTGTCAAATCAAAATACATAGAAGCTTCAATAAATATTAATCTCCACTATAATTTTTAAAGCAGGACTTCAATATACATATTATCTGAATACTTTAAAAATAAAGAAACCAAGAGGAATACCCCTTAAGCAACTTGCCCAAGGTCAAACAAGAAAATAAATGTTTATATTTTATACTGAAGTCTATCTGAACACAAATCCCTGCTTTTCAATAATGCTAACTTGAGAAAAAGTATTTAGGCTTTAAAAATGGTGTGGTCCTTTGAACCAGTAATTTTGTTTAGAATTGTATTCTAAAAATAGAATAAAGAACATGTACTATGACTTAGCTATAAGAATCTTAATATTGGCTATAGTGCCAAAAATTGGAATGAACTAGTGATGAAAAAGACTTGATTAAATTAATTGTGTTGGGAGATGGTGGGGGTGGATGATGGGAGGTTGCTTGTTGGCTGCAATGTGCATTGCTTCTGTGATGAATATGTTAAAGACCCTGACTTCATTACAATGCAATAAATTGATGTAGCAATATTGCACTTCTACCCTGCATTAAAAAAATTTAAAAACTAAATTGCATTATGTTCACACAATAGAATAGTATGCAACCATTAAAAATGTTGTAGAAAAATATCTATAGGAAAAATAATCCTAGCACACATAATCTTCTTAGTGAATTCCACTTAGCCTGCAAAGTTTAATTAAATGTTATTTTGGTGATATGTGTTCTCATCCAAATAAAATGAGGCCTACTCTCCTCTTTGCTTCCATAGGTCTACACATACGGCATGTGGTATTATACTTAATTATTTGGGTATGTGTTTTCCCTTACAGACTATGACTTCCTCAAGGTCACCAAAAAAAAAAAAAAACTTTAGTCACCTTTGTTACTTCACCCATATCTAACACAGTGTATAGTGCATAGTTAAGAGGAGACAGTCAATAAATATCCACTGCAAAAATAAGTGAACAATCCTTGTCAGTATGTTCAACTTACTTTACTTAAGAATCATATAGAAAGTGATCACATATCTATGGTTTACTGGGGAAAACTTTCCTGCTTTTTTACAATGAGAAGAAACAAACCCCTCCATTCTAGTTACCTTTGATTCTGCCTTGCTGCCTTAAAGACAGAAATAGGTAATAATCTCAGCACACCTGTGATGCACTCACTGCACCTGACCCTGTGATGCAACAGTCTGGCAACCGCCTGAGCTAAGGCAGGGCTTTTAATGTGAATTTTATATATTAATGTAGAATATAGCAATAGGCTTCATACAATATATCTGTGAAAATTATCTTCAAAAAATTTTGTAGATGTCTACTTTATGTGTATTTTCTAAGGATAGAGTTCTTTAGCTATATGCTCAGAAAGCCATTGGTCAAAAAAGTTTAAAGAATAATAATAGATTCTATGTTGTTTTCAACATATTACTATTACCCCAAATCATCTTAACTTTCATATGCATATGCATATGTCATTTTTTTTTTTTTTTTTTTTTTGAGACGGAGTCTTGCTGTGTCGCCCAGACTGGAGTGCAGTGTTGCGATCTCGGCTCACAGCAAGCTCCGCCTCCTGAATTCACGCCATTCTCCTGCCTCAGCCTCCAGAGTAGCTGGGACTACAGGCGCCTGCCACCACGCCCGGCTAAATTTTTGTGTGTGTTTTTAGTAGAGACGGGGTTTCACTGTGTTAGCCAGGATGGTCTCAATCTCCTGACCTCATGATCCGCCCACCTCGGCCTCCCAAAGTGCTGGGATTACAGGCTTGAGCCACCGCGCCCGGCCGCATATGTCACTTATTAAGTCAAATTTTCTTTGTTTTGTTTTCATTTTTGAGACTGGGGTGAGCTGACTTCTTATCGAAGCCCATTAAAATGTAGTTAATTATGGGTAGATTCGTTCATTATTCTTTTCTGTAGACATTATAGTACAGACACAAGTACTCCCAACAAAATTACAAAAATTCCTCTGGGGATGAGAAAAGAGAGTTGCTATGTGCAGTTCAGTGAGGATGAAGATACTTTTCACCCTTGGCATCTGCACAGTCAGTATTTTCAAATTATCTAAAGAAAGTCAGAGAGCGGGTCATTGGGAAGAAAGTCAAATGCATAAGGGCCAGGAAAACAAAAAGAGTAAGAGAGGAAGTTTACAGAAGCCCATATCGGAAGACTGCCTTCAACTAAAACTGAAGAAATCTTCACACATTCTTGAAGTCCAGTCAAGTGTTTCTGTGTGTTCCTACATAAAGGTGTAGCTGTATTTAGAGCTGCCACATTTTCTATCGCCTGAAGGAATTTCCATTTATTTGCTATGGCACTTTTTCTTTTTTCTCTAGCAGGACCATCACACACTGTGGTTTAGCCCTGTGCCTACAACAATAGATTAGAAATTTTAGTTGGGAAAATCACCCGGTGTTGACCTTATTCAGCTCCCTCTGCTCAATCACGTTTGTGTGCAGGGGATGAACCAGATGAAGTTTCAGAGATGCAATTCTGAATAAATAATTTTATTCAGAAAAAGTAGAATGTTCCCTCATCTACTGCACATGCCAGACAGAGGCTAGTACCAGTTTTAAAAATACTACAAAGGAAGCCTGAGCATTCTCAGAATCTGAAGACACATGAAGGATAATTGAAGGGATTCCAGAAAGCCCAGTTTCAGTAAGACAGAACAGGCATCATAGGGACCTATATGTGTTTTTGTATTATTTGACCTGGAATTTTTTAAAATTAAAAGGCTAGTAGGGAGCCCCTTGAAGACTCTCTAAGATCACTAAATATGAAAGTTAAAATCAGAGTTTATACTATTCCTGACTTGTATAAATTGCCTGAGGAAGGTGAGGTTTTTTATGCATTAGGAGACAGGAATAATAGTAATAATAATGTTTCTTGAGAGCTTACTTTGTACCAGGCATGCTCTACATGGCTTTACATGTACTAACTCACTGATTGTTATACCAAAGTGAAAACTATTATTATTTTCTTTCTGTCAATGAGGAAACAAGACATAAGAATAAGAAGGAAGTTTTTCAAGGACATACAACTAGTAAGGAAGGGCTCATGCTCTTAAACAATATGAAATACCCCTCTCCAAGGGAGAGTTATGAAAATAGGAATCTCTCTGGTTATCTGCTGTGCAACATTCAACTTTTTTTGGCGGGGGGGTGTTATCCAAAATAGTGGATAATCTCTAGAAAACAGCTTTTTTTTTTTCAAATAATTATCCTCCAATATTAAACACACAGACATACACACACACACACACACACACACACACAATTCTACACGTCTGAAAGTACTTCCAATCACAAGATTTTAAAGAATTTTACTTAGAATATATTGTCTATTTCACTGAGAAAAAAATGATTTGTGTGGAAACACAAGAAAAGATGATCACTTTTCCCATCTCATATTTATCTAATTTAATAAACATAACTAAAAGCAGATATGTTGATATCCCAAGAAAATTGAGATGATTTAATGGGTAATTTTTCATCAGAAGTCATATATTGGTTTATTTATTCAAATAACAAGAATTCATTTAACAACTACTTTGTTCTAGGCCAGTGTCTATGCACTGGGAATATATAGAAATGAATAAAACAGATTACGTCTCTGACTTTGTGAACTTGAGTTAAAGATGTTACTACTATTAAATTACTGATGATTTCTCTTGGTTCAAGATATTCTGTATTTATTTATTTACTTAACTTTTATTTTAAGTTCGGGGGTACAAATGTAAGTTTGTTACATAGGTAAACTTGTGTAATGGAGGTTTGTGGTACAAATTATTTTGTCACCCAGGTATTAAGCCTAGTACCCATTAGTTATTTTTTCTGATCTGCTTCCTCTTCCGACCCTCCACCTTCCGAAAGGACCCAGTGTGTGTTGTTCCCCTAATGTGCCCAAACAAATTTACAAAAAACAACCTCATAAAAAAGTGGGCAAAGGACATGAACAGACACTTTTCAAAAGAAGACATATGTGCGGCCAACCATCATATGAAAAAAAAAAAAAACCTCAATATCACTGATTATTAGAGAAATGAAAATCAAAACACGATGAGATACCATTTAACACCAGTCAGAATGGCTATTATTACAAAGTCAAAAAATAGCAGATGCTGGCAAGGTTGTAGAGAAAAAGAAAATCTTATCACTGTTTATGGGAGTGTAAATTAGTTTAGCCATTGTGGAAGACAGTGTGGCAATTCCTCAAAGACATAAAGACATAAATACCATTTGACCCAGCAATCCCATTACTAGCTATATACCCAAAGGAGTATAAATCATTCTATTATAAAGACATATGCAGGAATAAGTTCATTGTATCACTATTTACAATAGTAAAGATATGGAATCAACCTAAATGCCCATCAATGATTGACTGGATAAAGACATTCTATATTGTTAAAGTTTATAAATCTATACATTTCAAATGGGAAATATTGGAAAGAATAAATTTATACTTGCAAGATATACAAATAGAATTCCACACAAGAAACCATAGAGCTCAACTGGCATAGAGACAAATTCCTAACATCATTAGTTCTAGTTTTAGAATCTCCTATAAATACCCACACAGAGGACAGAATGCAAAGCCTGAATTTGTACTTATTTCTTCTTCTAGGGCACGCTACATCTTAAGAACTATCCACTCCAACACACATCCCAGTGAATAAGCATATCAATCTCATGGCTAACAACATATCTTTGGATGTTTCACAACCAAATAAAATCTCACCTTCTAAGGGAGCAGAGAGTAGAAGAATGGTGAATTACATGGGCTAGAAATAGGAGCTTGATATATAAGTATTTCAAATGATCAACTAGCAACAAGAGACAAAAACACACAATAGCAAAAGTAGGTACTGTAGATTACGATTCTACTTGAAATGTACATATGGTTGGTTAAATCCTCTTCTTATTGAAAATCACTTAAGACTGGGCACTCTGGCATCATACTGTGGCACTTGAATAAAGGTTCTATCACTTAACAGCTGGTGATAGGCAAGGGTTACTCTGCCTGGGCTGGAGACCCAGCAGGCTGACTTTCCATACAGACAGCTGACACTTCCTCTCCCCCAAAGAGCAGGCTCATTTGAAAACTAAAATGCAGAAGATAGAAAAACTGGCAACAACTGAGTACTCAAGTCAGACATCTGATAGGATGCCAATGAAATGGACAGGGCTGAGGGCCAAGAATCCCCAACACCATATGACAACAAACATGAGACTTGGGCCCTGGACTCCGATCTCACCAAGGGATGGGTTACTGAGCTCTCTGTTATAAATGCTGCGGTGGAAGATCAGGGATAGAAGTCACAATTCTTGTACATCACAGAACTGTAACAACAAAGTTTTGACCTTGGCCCCAATCTATCCCAGGGGAAGGTCTCATGCTTCTGTAACCAGGCAGCTTATAAGCCCCACATCTCAAGACTGGAGCCTCTCCCATGACAGACATTTGCCCACCAGATCCTTGTACAACTGGTATGGAGAAAGTGGCTCACCTGCTGCTACTCTGTCTCTGTAGTTTTTCCTCTCAAAAAAAAAAAAAAAAAAAAAAAAAAGAATGCTGGTCCAGGCTGGGGTGTGTACTTTCAGGGCATTCACTCTTGATTACTCCACATTAGACGGTCTTGAACAAATTATTAATTCTCTTTGAGCCTCAGTATCCTCTTCATCAAATACGGATAATGACAGTAAACACTTCATTTGGTTTCTGTAAGGATTAAATGAGATAATCTATGTCAAGTATTTATCAGAGCACTGGCACAGAGTGAACATTAAAAAACGCTAGCTATGATTACAATTTATTATTTAATTCAAGGGGATTTTTCAATACATATAGGGGATTTTATCATATTTCAAAAAGAAATAAAAAATAAACCTGAGGTCTTTCATTAAGAGACATAGAGAGTCATTGTTCTATAGGCTATGACTCCATCGTTGATGTGAGGTTTATTTGATGGCTGAAAGGTTCTGAGTTTCAAATCAGAGAAGAGAAATTTAGCACATAAAAGGAACTTAGACTTTTACTGAGAAGCAGACTTCTAATTGGTGCCTAGGTATCTGTTTGCACCTTCTTGAAAATAAGAACTCTGGAGGAATGGCATGAAGAAAAGACAGTCTTAGTGGCTATAGTTTTCTCTACACAATTATTTATTCATTCATTCATCCATCAATACATTATCTCCTTTATTCAACAGTTACATATTGCAAGACACTGTGCTAAGTATGATGGTGAGATAAGATATAATCAGGTCAATATGGAGAAGTACAAATTGTCTTGTCCAAAACTTACTCCCTACATGCTCACATGCTAGTCTCCCAAAGAAGGAGCTTTCTGCCTGCAGATTGCCTGGAAAAATAGCTACAAAAAAATGTCTTAAGGCAACCAATTCTAGTAAAGGCTGAGATGGCAGATTAAGCCATGTTCAAGCATGTTAAAGAGCTGGAACTCTGAGGCTTAGACATGAACCCATTGACTCTGCCAGAGAATGGGCTTGTGTTCCCCAAACTATTGGATGTCCAGTTGGCAGAACAGGACTTGGAGACAAAACTGTGCCATACACGTAGTTGATGGATATCATCTCTTAATCATGCCAGGGGAAGAGCTGTTGCTTTCCCAATTAGTTTCTTAAAGCCTTCTGGAGGCCAGTGCTTGATTTATTCCATCTCTGTGTGCTGCCCCAAAGTACAATGGAAAATTATACTCTGTTTCCTATCACAGTGAAATCCACCAATATAATGCTTTTTCATAATTCCTAGTGTGTTAGCTGCCTGGTTTTTTGTCCTGGTTTAATCAATACTTTTGTGACTTAAGAAGCTCATAATGTAAAAGAGAAGATAAAACACTTAAGTGGATTAAATTAATAAGAGAGAATTACCTGCCGTGGAAAAAGCCACGTTTAGAGGGAATCATCTGTTCTTTTTACTGACCAACCTCTACCTCCCTTGAAGGTATTTGATAGAAACCAATCCCTGCACCCCTCACTATTTCATTGCCAATAAGAGAAATGACTTATTTTACGGGACTAATGCATCTATACCATTCACTCATGAAAGGTGAGAGGTAGGCTTCACTTCTTGATGCAATTTATTAGCTCTGTAACTACAATTCTCATCCAAGAGGCCAGTTTTAGGGTGATAATATTGGCCTAATGTACAGTGTGTTTTGGCCTCATATAGAGAGTATATTTATCAATACAGTCTTACTGATAATAAAGGTGATATTTGAATTCCTAAGGAAGTCAAAACTTCCTTGTCCCCTTCTTAATAGGTTTAGAACTTAGAAAAGACATTTGATCCAATGACTCCTTTAATCACATTTGTTTAATTCAGACATGAATTTGTATCCCAGTTGGTTTTGGAAATACTGTATTCAATCTTGAAATGTCAACGTACTCATTAGCCTATGGCTATAATTCTCTCATTGGATTCTATGTGGGATTAACTGAGATGATGTGCCTGAATCATATAAGGTATTCAAAAATTCTTCTTGTATGGTGTACATGATGTGAAGAGTAGTCTAGAAAAGGAAACTTGATACAGCTCTGTTTACAATAGCCAAGATTAGGAAGCACCCTAAGTGTCCATCAACAGATGAATAGATAAAGAAAATGTGGTACTTATATGCAATGGAGTACTATTCAGCCATAAAAAGAATGAGATTCAGTAATTTGCAACAACATGGATGGAACTGGAGGATATTATGTTAACTGAAATAAGCCAAACACAGAAAGACAAACATCACACGTTCTCATTTATCTGTGGGATCTACAAATCAAAACATTTTGAACACATGAGGATAGAGAGTAGAAGGATGGTTACCAGAGGTTGGGGAGGCCGGGTAGGAGGAAGATGTACGGGGGTAGGAAGAACATGGGGATGGTTAATGGGTACAAAAAATTAGAATGAATGAATATGGCCTAGTATTTGATAGCACAACAGGGTGACTATAGTCCATAATAATTTAACTGTATATTTTAAAATAACTAAAAGAGTTACAAACTGGATTGTTTGTAACACAAAGGATAAATCCTTGAGAAGGTGGATACCCCATTTTCCATGATGTGATTATTACACATTGCATGCCTGTATCAAAACATCTCATGTACCCAATAAAAATATATACCTTCTATATGCCCACAAAAATTAGAAAAAAATATTTTAAAAAATCTTGAGAGACTAAGGGAGTTTTATTGAGTCTCCATATTAAGAATATTTGGGCCAGGCCCAATGGCTCACACCTGTAATCCCAGCACTTTGGGAGGCCAAGGTGAGAGGATTGCTTGAGCCCAGGAGTTCGAGACTAGCCTGGGCAACATAGTAAGACCCTGTCTTTATTTTATTTATATATATTTTTTTGTTTCTATCATATATAAACATTTTTTAAAGTAAGGTAAAAAAGAATATTTGATCTTTTTTCAGTTAACTTAAATATAGGAAACAAAAAATTTAACAGATGGTCCCCAACAAATTGGAAACTTTTCTGTGTCTTAAGCCTATGACATGCCAGCCGGTTTGACACCACTATTCAGAACTGAGAGCCTGGGTACTGCAGAGAACTATCACAGGAGGATATTTAATGAATTGTGGTGGAAGTCAAACCTCAGTCCATGCCACTCACCTCAACAGGACATAGCTCACCATGTGTCATTTAAAATGCAATTCTCTTTGAATGGACAAAGAGCAGTTCTATTACTAGACATGACTGCTTTTACTACTAGCAGTGGTTTAATGATTTTATGTCATTGCAATAATAGAAACATGACATTCAACTGTGACTATAGCTTGTACGAGTCTATTTTTGGAAAGCTGATTTTGCAGAGGACATGGAAATGTGGAGTCTTGGTTCCTGTTTATTTCCCAAAAGCCTTGGCCAGTAACTCTTATATGTCACTCCCCTCTATGGACCTTTCATGACTTTCTGAGATGAGTGTAGTGATTTGAAGTACCAAACAATGATCGTTCATAGAAAAAATCTCTTCTTTAGAAAAGGAGAATTGGGACTGAATCCAATTTTTCCATCAAAAGAAACATCCCTCATGGAGTATTTCAATGCCTGAGTCCTCACTCTTGACAGGAAAGAAGCAAGCAAACAGCAACAACAAAGATAACCAAAATAACACATTCTTTCTCAGTAGAGGACACTGCCATCTACCTTTTACAGATAAATCTGAAGCTAAGAGACGTAAACTCCCCCAATGTCCTGTCTTCACACATAGACACTTATCACTGTCAGTACTCAGAGTTCAACTTCTTTCTAATCTCAGAACAAGTGCTTTTTCTTTTGCTTACAGTCAACCCTTTCATCTGTGTTCTTGATTCCAACTCCTCCTGTCTTTTCTAAGACCTTGATCCATCAGTGCTCTACCTTTGTTCCTGTATTTTCACCTCTCCCCTTGCTACTGGTCCATTCAGCCTGTTCACATGCTAAAATCCTTACCATTACACACACACACACACACACACACACACACACACACCCTTCTCTCTACGTGTAGTCACTGACCTATTTCCCTCCACAATCAAACTACTTAAAATAGTCCACATCTGCAGTCTCCCATTTTAAAATCACCTGTTTTCTCTTATCCATCTATAAATACGTACATGATTTTTCCTTGTATCCTTATTTCAAACAACACAGTACAAGCATTTGTTATTTGTCCTTCCTTCCTTTCAACCCACAACCACAGTCCTCTGCTTGCATCTTTCTGGCCAGACTGCTCAAGTGAAATTCATCAATAACCTCCTAACATTTAAAGATAATGGGCAAGACTAGTAATTTAACTGTCACCAGCATGTGAAACAAAAGACACCTCCTTCCCCTTTTGAAAAATGTTTCTCTCTTTTGGTTTCATGTTGCTGCTTCCTTATTCCTTCCACTTACCATATATTGGACACATATTTTCCCGAAGTACTATGTCATCAGTATAGTTCAAATAGTTAAAATAACCCTAAAAAGGTAGGGAATATTGCAATATTATATACATTTAAGATCAAGCAGACGGAACCTAAAGAAATGGAATCTTTACCTAAGTTATAGAGTAAGTACAATATATGAGGTAAGAATCCAGTTTTGTCTGATACCAATGTATATTTTTTAACATGTTATTATGAGAATTACATATTCCAAAAGTACAGAAATATACCAAACGGTTGCAACCAACAAAACACACCTGCTCAAAGATTTAACAAATATTTACATTTTGCTTTTATTTTTACTTTTCAGAGACAGGGTCTTGCTCTGTGACCCAGGATGCAGTGGCACAATCATGGCTCACTGCAGCCTCAAACTCCTAGACTCAAGGGATCCTCCCATCTCAGCCTCCCAAGTAGCTGGGACTATAGCCACGTGTCTCTACCCTGGACTTTGCTTTATTAACCTCCGAACTTTTTTCTTTCCAGATTGATATAGTTTAAATAATTGAAGTCCACTTTGCATTCCTTCCCAATTTTTCTACCTTTCTCCTCAGAGTGAAAGCCATTATTCTTTAGTTGGTATGTATCCTTTACATTCCAAAGTTTTTCTACTATTGGATTGATACAGTCTTCTTTATTCCTGTCTTCCCTTCCTTTTTCTGTCTGAATATTTTACATTCATTTTCTTTTCTGTTTGTGGACATTTATACATTTTTAACATGTATACTTAACAGTTGATCAATAATATTTCTAATCTCTCTAACCAAATAGGGCATTTGAATGTATTCACACTGAACTTCTTCCTCCAATTTACCACATTAATTTCTCTTGCTTTTGCCCTGTAAAATACCTTGCCTGAAACTACCAAGAAATTAGTAGCATATATTATATCAGTCTGTCTGTCTATCTATCACCTATCTTTCTATCTATGTTATTTTTCACAGACAAACCTTACATGTATATGAAAGGGTTTCTTTATCATCTCACCCTTTCTTTGGGTTGGAGGTTCAATTTTCTCTTACTGATTTTCATTCTCATATAGATAGATCAATAGATCAATGATAGAGAGAGAGAGAGATAGACAGACAATCTATAGATTCTAATTCTCACTATTTTTATGAGATTTTTTCCCCATTTGGATTCATCCTTGAATTGAAGTTTAGCTAAATGTAGAATTTTAGGTAAACAATTATTTTCCATCCACTCTTTAAAGTTTCATTCTGTTGGGGCATCTGGTCTCCATCACGGCTGTGAGACATCTTCTGTCATTCTAATTTCCATTCCTTTGATTGCAATAGATATCTCATCCTTAATTGCTTTCAATATGTTTTCTGTTTGTGTGAGTTTGGAAATTTCACTGCAATAGAACTAGGTGAATATTTGTTTTTAATTAAACAATGTGTGGATGTAGTACTCATTCTGAAGATTGATATCTTTTTTTGCTTCAGGCAAATAACAAACTAGTGTATGATTCTTTTGTCTCTATCCTCCTTGTCTATAATTTCTCTTATTTTCTGTAGTATGTCATTTTATTTGTCTTAACTCTTCACAGTAAAGCTGCATGTCTGGTTAATTTAATCAGATCTATTTCCAAGTCACTAATGCTTGTTTACACTTAACTGCATCTTTACAAATGTATTTGCTCACAAAATCTTACAGCTTATAGCTCCACAGTTCAACATTGGAGTCCTTCTCCAAGTCTGATGTCTGTGGTCATTTTTTTCTTTTATCTATTTGAATGTTTAAACACAGTCATTTCAATGTGTCCTCTGGACAATTCTATTATCTCTAGTTCTGGGGGTGTAAATTCTCCTATTTGTTGCATTTTCTGACTTTTCATTATGAATTTCCATTGGGGATTTAAATATTTCACTCTTAAGTCACCTTCATGGGGGTCATTATGGAAAATTTGTGTCTCCCTAAAATTCATATGTTGAAGGCCTAACCTCTTAGATGACTGTATTTGGAGATCAGGTCACTGGTATCCTTGTAAGAAAAGGAAGAGACACCAACAATGTGCACACATAGAGACAAGGCCATGTGAGGATGTAGAAAGAAGGCAACTATCTGCAAGCCAAGAATAGGGTGCTTACAAAAACCAACATGGTTGGCATTTGGATCTTAGACTTCTAGTTCCAGAACTGTGAGAAAATAACTTTCTGTTCTTCAAGCTAACCAGTGTATGGTATTCTTTTGTGGCAGCCCAAGCCGACTAATACAGGAGCATTTCAGGAGCCCCAGTCTATAGCAACGATCACCATGTGTCATTGCATATTCACCTCTTCACTGTTGTCATCAGTTTCACTGAGTTTGTATTAGGTTTTTATTAATTTCTCAACTTGCCCTTCTCATACTACATACAAATTCGGAACTCACAAGTTTTCTTAAAGTGTCTTGTATGGCCAATTTCTCAAAAATGATTCATTTTAAATGATGGCTGGTGGTCAGAATTTTTCTAGTTCTAATATCAAAGCCATAGCAGAATGATCTCCTGTCTCAATGTTTTCTTGCAGGTAGTACAGATCCAATCAACTTCTACTTGCACTCAGCCTTGAGGGTATTAAAATGTCACACCGAGCATTTAATGATTGTTTCCCCCTGATAACTCTGATGTTTTGTGCCTTTGATTACTGATCTTACCTTGAATTTCTCCTTCACTGAAGCATCTAAAAGCTCTCGTTTCTTGTTTTTTACCATGTACAAGCATTTCTAAAATATTTCTTTCATAATTTAATTGAAGTAAATTTTTCTATATTGCCTTAATTTTAAAATACCAGATGTCCTTTTTGCTCTTTCTATTTCATTATGCCATTTTTCTTGTCCTCATCATATCTCTGACTACATATTCTGACAAGCAAAAGTTGTTTTCTCTTTCTCTACTTGACAATGAAATATTGGTATTTTCAGAGGATTGGTCTTCTCTTTCAATAGTCTTCTTGAAAAACCTAGTCTACTTCCAATGTTTCAAGTAACTCATTTTTGAACATTTTTGTTTTATACATCCATTGTGAACCTGTTTTATGGGTTATAGAACTGCATGACCACCATTAGCTTAAACTCAGAATGTGTAGAAGAGAACTCATGATTTTTCCAAATAATCCCTCAGAAATACCTTGGAATGAGGCACTGTCATCTTTCTGGATAATCAAAGCAGAAAACTAGAAACCATTGATAATGGTTTCCTTTCCTCAATCCCTACCTTCAGTGGAGAGGCAAATCCCACTTTCTCAGCCTCCTTTACCTTACCATTACGGATGCCTTAAGCATAGCTTAAGCAGCTATCCTTAAGCCCTACTCATAGAGAGATAGATTAGCCTCTTAGGATTTTTCACTTGCAAGTTTTAATTATTAGCCAAATTGACATCCATGCCACTAATCAGTTTTATTGCTTCTAGTTTTCTTTTGGCTGCCAGTGGTGTTTTCCTTCTCTTTCTAAACCCTAGAAGAAAACCTAGGCAATACCATTCAGGATATAGGCATGGGCAAGGACTTCATGTCTAAAATACCAAAAGCAATGGCAACAAAAGCCAAAATTGACAAATGGGATCTCATTAAACTAAAGAGCTTCTGCACAGCAAAAGAAACCACCATCAGAGTGAACAGGCAACCTACAGAATGGGAGAAAATTTTGCAATCTACTCATCTGACAAAGGGCTAATATCCAGAATCTACAAAGAACTCAAACAAATTTACAAAAAAAAAAAAAAAAACCAAACAACCCCATCAACAAGTGGGCAAAGGATATGAACAGACACTTCTCAAAAGAAGACATTTATGCAACCAACTGACACATGAAAAGATGCTCATCATTGCTGGCCATCAGAGAAATGCAAATCAAAACCACAATGAGATACCATCTCATGTCAGTTAGAATGGCGATCATTAAATAGTCAGGAAACAACAGGTGCTGGAGAGGATGTGGAGAAATAGGAACACTTTTACACTGTTGGTGGGACTGTAAACTAGTTCAACCACTGTGGAAGTCAGTGTGGTGATTCCTCAGGGATCTAGAACTAGAAACACCATTTGACCCAGCCATCCCATTACTGGGTATATACCCAAAGGATTATAAATCATGCTGCTATAAAGACACATACACACACGTATGTTTATTGAGGCACTATTCACAATAGCAAAGACTTGGAACCAACCCAAATGTCCATCAATGATAGACTGGATTAAGAAAATGTGGCACATATACACCATGGAATACTATGCAGCCATAAAAAATGATGACTTCATGTCCTTTGTAGGGACATGGATGAAGCTGGAAACCATCATTCTCAGCAAACTATCGCAAGGACAAAAAACCAAACACCGCATGTTCTCACTCATAGGTGGGAATTGAACAATGAGAACACTTGGACACAGAGGGGAACAATCACATGCCAGGGCCCCTTGTGGGGTGGGGGGAGGGAAGAGGGATAGCATTAGGAGATATACCTAATGTAAATGACGCGTTAATGGGTGCAGCACACCAACATGGCACGTGTATACATATGTAACAAACCTGCACATTGTGCACATGTACCCTAGAACTTAAAGTATAATATATATATGTGTGTGTGTGTATATATATGTATATATACAAATATATGTAGATATACACATATATGTATATATATACACACATATAGAAAGAGTAACTAGTCCATACTTTTGAATCCATGGGTCTTTTTAGTGGATTTTCTTTGCCTATAGGACAAAGTCCAAACTCTACCTTACAAAACTGATTCTCGGTAATTGAGCCTTTACTACTGGTCTAGACTTATTTTTCATAGGGTTCTATACCACCACTTTGAACTCCAGCTCAATGAAGCTGTTTTTAGTGTCATGTTTTCATGACTTTTTTCAAGCTATTGCCTCTCCCTGGAATGATTTCCCCTTGCCCCTTGGACTCAGCATCACCTTCCAAATCTCTCATTCTTTTCCAGGGGAAGTTGACAACATCCTCCTTAGCATCTCTACCAGAAATAGTTATTCTTGGTTCCTATTGTAATCTTAATTCCATTGATACAAAAGTGTGCCTGTCTAACACTCTGAGACTATGAGATGTTTTAAGATGGGGTTTCTCAACTTCGGTGACTTTGATATACTGGACTAGATAATTCTTTGTTGTCTGAGCTGTACTGTGTATTACTGGATATTTAGCATTCTTGACTTCTAATCACTAAATGTTAGTGGCACTTGTTTCCCATCAGACATAACAATCAAAAATGCCTTCAGGCATTATCAAACGTTCCCTGGGTAAGGGTGGGGATTCCTGGTTATCAATCACTGTTTTAAATTAGGAACCATATTTCAAAAGTTCTGTGTTCAAACTCACAGCCTACATTTCAAAATATTAGTTGGCTAAATGACTACATAATAACAATATTCTAGTTATCAATAAATAATATGTGTATGTGAATATATATATGCCCTCATCTAGCCATTAAATAATTGAAATACAAAATAATTCACTTATGAATTATACTTTTGAAATAATTCAGAGAGATAAAGTTCAAATAATATTACATACATGTGTTATCAAGACACACACACACACACACACACACACACACACACACGTCATAGTGAAAGACTAAATGCCAAGTAACACACAGTCAAATAAGAACAATTAGCAATTTTGTGAATTGGCTGCCTGTTCACATTTATTTTGCCAAGGCTAATGTTTAGTTAAGTCAACACTTCTGCCAATTATATGAGCCTTCATTGAATGAACTCATGTTTTAATTTTAGCAACTTTGCATTTAACCTTAAGGAAATATAACCTCCTGGGCAATTGTCAAAACAAGTGACTACATTGACAACGTGTCCCAGAAATAAAAGCTAAGTAAAACCATTATATTTCTTAATTGCTCTTTCTTTAGACATTTACTTGATAAATGTTTAGAGAATTTTCAGAATGTGGTAAATATTTTAAGGAAGTAAAAAATCTTCCAAGGTATTTTTACCACTACTAGGAAAGATAATTCATGTGTGCAAATAAGCTAAAGAAATTGAGTCAAAAGGTTAAGAAAGTTCAAGTGAAAATGGCATCCTAGTGATTTATAAAAACTGAGAAAAGAATCATAGAAAGACAACATGGAATGTTGGCCTTAGGGGGAAAAATTGTTAATATCAATATTACTTATAATATTACAAAAAACCTGAGAAAGTCTTGACATTCAACAGTAGCTGAATAGTTACCATTTTAAGATTTTAGTCATAAAAACTCTGCAATAATATGAAAAGCTACATAGTCTATGTTTAAATTAACATTAGAAAAAAAAATTTGCATTCAGTTTGAGTTTGAGCAGGCTTGTATAAACTGCATCACATAAAAACGCCTAGAAGAAAATACATTACGATACTAATGGTTATTTCTAGATTACATGGCTAATAGGGGAAATATGACTCTTTCTTTAGATATATCAGTAATTTAAATTTATCTTCAATAGCTGTACATTTTTATTTATGCAAATATGATAAACTAAACACAGATTTTGTTCTTTGACTCCACTCAGATATGAGAATATAGAAAAGCTTTCTTTTATTCATCATATATTTCTATGACTTTTTCAAAATTTTCAGACAGCAAAAGGGGAAAAAAATTGTGAAATTTTATTTCTAGACTTTGCTATTTTAACAATTTATTAATTAGTTCATAGACTAGTCCTTAGTTCTTAGATTAAGGGGGCAGGAGGGAAACCCCACAGACTCAAAAAGCATAACTGCACCACTTGGTGGGATCATAGCCTTCTCCAAAAGCTTTTTTTTTTTTTTAAGGAAAACACTGGGAAAGAGCAGGGAAGTCAGAAATGCAGATGTGCAGAAATGCACAAGCACACAAAATGTCCTATACTTGTCCCCAGATACCTCTACTATATTAGGTCATTAATATATCTTAGGGCTCATACCTCTTTGTCTCATACCTGACAAGCTAAAGCCTACTACCTCATACCTGAACCATACCTAATCCATTTCCAAGTCTGTTCAGTGCTAAAGAACTTTAATTTTTAGAAAAAAAGTTTATTTTTAATTGACAAATGAAATTGTGTATATTTATCATGTACAGCATGTTGTTTTGAAATATGCATACATTGTGAATTGGCTAAAATGAGCTAATTAACATATTACATTACCTCATATACTTATCATTTCTTTTTTGGTGAGAATGCTTAAAATATTAGGCTAATATATTCTCTTAGCAATGTTCAGGAATATGTTATTATTAACTATAATCATTATGTTGTACAATAGATCTCTTTAACTTATTCCTCCTAACTGAAATTTTGTATTCTTTGACCAATATCAGAACTTGCCATGCTAGATAGAATATTAAAATGAATTTCAGGTAAAATAAACGATGAAAAGTAGTTAGAACATTAATATCCATGCTTGATTTGGTGAATCTCTGGTAGAAAGGTGAGATGGATGAAAAGATTAGTTCTCAGAATCATAATCCGAATGGATGGATTCTTTTGCCATATGTGGCTTTGAAGAGAAAGCTCAAGAATATGAGACCATCTGATAATTATTTCTCCAAAAACTCAGTGAGGGAAGGACTATGGGTAGCTGCATTTTCTAAATGAGAAAATTGAAGTTCTGAGAAGAGAGTAGTTTGTCCAAGGTTAAGTGTTCATAACTTGTAAGTAGTGAAGGTGGACTATGAAATTCAGCCATCTAACACCAGAAGCATGGTTTTAATCACTATGGTATAACATCCCTTATACAAAGCTCATATGATTGCAAAGGGCCAGAGCCTGGAGACCCTGAAAATCTGTCAGGAGGACTATAATAACCTAAATAGGTGAAGGATCAGAACTCAGGAAGATATAAAATGGAAGGGTTCTATAAACATGTGGATAAAAAAAAGAGGACTCCAAGGTAAAGTCTAAGAATGGATCTGAAATACTCACTACTCCTTTTTTACTACCCCCAAGTCAGTGAATGGGGTAGGTGGGTCAATTTCATTTAAACACTCATAAAATGGATACAAATTTGCATATGCATTAAAAAGTGACAAAAGAGAAATACATTGGCAATGGGGATAACGCAGAAGACGCTAAAAAAAATGCAACCATTTGAGATTCCATTGACTTACCTACTCTCACTTCTATACTCATTTTGGTCCTTTCCATTTGCGTAGTTACTTTGATCTATATTATATTCAGGTCATTTCTAAGATAACCCACTTCACCTGCATGAAGCAGTATTCTGTGTTTGTTTTGTTTTTACCTCTGTTGTCTTGGGCACTGTGACTGAAATTGTTGTAGATGATGACTTAGTAGGCAAGCAACATTAAAAATTATACATTTGAAATTTGCCAAATTGAAATAGTCATAGTCTCTCTCCCTCTATCCCTTAAAAGTAACTTATTAAAAAGCACTCATCTATGTAACAACCAGTACGTCTGAAAATTTTATGGCAAATAGTTACACAGTTTTTTAAAACGTATGAATGTAGGCCATGTAAACAAAAGCTTAAATCCCTTTTCTTCCAGGAAATCTTCGGTATCACTGGAGTCTATAACTGATGTCATCTGTACTTGGATAATTTGCCTCATCTCTGTCTTATATGGGATTTATATGTATACATGTTCTGCCTCCCAGGGGAGTTCTTACATATTCAAGTGGCATCTTTTATACTTTCAATTCAGCCTCCTTGACAGCTGAATGAAAGGGTAATGAGGTAGATACTCCAGCTGCCCATCATATAGACATTCTCCCTTTGTGCTTTCCTAATAGAATCTAGAATTGGTGTGCCAATGGGCCCAGCTACATTTTTCAGGCTTCCCTAGAGGTAGAAGTGGCTATGGAATTAAGTTCCAACAAATGGAACAGATAGCAAGTTTTCTTGGTGAAGCTTCTGGGGAAGCACTTAAAAAAAATGAGGACTGGTTAAGTTTGCATGTGATTTTGACCACCTACCATTCTACTACCTTCTTCCTGAAACAGGCCAATTAGCGCTTCACCTTCCATCTAGTGACTGTGGATTGACCTCAGGTATAGAAGCTCTGAACTAAGAATGTCAGAGCAAAAAGAAAGTGCTTGAATCTCTATCAGACCAGCCTGAGATGAACACCTCCTGATACCTCTTCAGGAGGGGTTCAACCACTTTTTGTTTAGCTAATCCTTAAATCTCTGTTTCTCATAGCCAAACAGAATTTTAACTGATACTGGTGAGATAATCATTCCAAAATAACAGTAACAAAACCGAGTCTAAGACAATCTGTTGCACTTATATACCACTAAGCTGTGGACTTCCCAATAGCCACATGAAAAAGGATTTGTGAAAGTTTATAATGCTCTCATGAGCTAATAAAAAAGAAGTCCAAATCTATATACAGCGAAATGTATTCCAGTCATTATAATTGAAAAAAAAAAACCTATTTCATAGGTTTTTGTGTAGGGGGAACAAGTGATATCTTGATTGGTGAATTTTGGTAATTTTTTGATGATATAAATTGATCTTCCTATGCTTATTTCTTCTGGTGATATTTGAAAAAAGAAAAATGTTAAGTTTTCCAGTAGGACTGTGAAAATATTTCTGTGGAAAAGGCAAACCCACATTGTTTTCTAGTGGTATGACCTGATTTAGAAGCATAAGTTAAAGAATGTAGAAGAAAGAATAGTTTGTGTGAAAATTTTACACTCTTCAAAATGAATCATTGTAGTCTAGCTGCACACAAAAGCTAAATGTCCACAAATGCAATATTAGCATTGTTGTAAAGTGCCTGAAAGGCAGGCACAATTTTGGTAAACAAGAGGCAAAGCACATGCTTTCTATTTTGGGGATGAAGTGGAAACTATATACGTTGAGGTATAAAAACTACAGTGCTTGCTCATAAAGAGGACCACCTATGTATATGCCAGATGAACCTAAAATGTTTCTAAAAGTAGAACTAACTCTTATTAACTACAGTTTGGAGTTTACTCAAATGCTTTAACAAGAAATAGAATCAAAGAGATCAGCATTATAAAAAATAGAGAAAATGATTTTGATCTGGATTATTTTGAAAGCAGGTGTTACTGTTTTCTCACCTTGACCACCAAAGGAAAAACAAATGATTCAGCTTATGTATACCAACTTAAGTATCTGTCGTTGTCAGCTCAGAGTAGTATTCAGGAATTAATGCCCAGGTATAGGATACTAAAATAAGAAAAAAGGGAATGTTAACTGTGAAGCCAAATGATACCCTGCTAGTTAAGAAAAGGAGATTTTTTTGCAAAGAAAAGGAGTTCTCTCTCAAATACGGAAAGCGAGGGAATTCAGAATAGAAAAGCTGACAGAGACGGGGCAGCCTTAATTTACATGTCAGCTGTAATATCTGCCTTACAAGACTATTTACTTGGTAACTGGATGACATTCCTTAAAACTAGTTACCGTAGCAACTGCCACATGACACATGTGGCTCTAAGACAGAGAACACCTTCCTGCAAGAAACAAAAGCACCATCAATGTTTCAGAGGAACATTATCATTTTGAGTAATGCTGATGGTGTGAAGGAAAGGTGTTAGCCCCAATTCACGGTGACTTTTTCCCTTTAATTTCTAGATCCCGGTAGAGTGTCAACAGAGCTTTCAATTTTTTTTCACTCCTATTTATCACTTCTCTGTGTTTTTAAAATGTTAATTACCTAAATATTAGCTTTTGGTTAAAGCTGCTAAAAAGCTTCCCACAAATAAAACCTACCTTCACAATTTCATTAAAAATATCTTTTCAAGACTTTTATATTCTTACCTCTGTTTCTTTGCTACTGCATTTTTTCACCTTGAATACCCATCTTTAACTCCAAGTATATAAATACCCCCAGCCACTCATAGCTTAGCTCAACTGTCACTCTTTTCCTAAACAAATTCCCACTTCCTATGAACAAATGTTAAACTCTGCTAATTTTCTACTTCTTCAATTTTTCTAATTTCTATCCTATTTTAAGCAGTGTATTAAATGTATTAATGTGCTCATTAGAGATCTTTTCTCCATTATTTACTCCACTGAATTTTGTGTAGTTCTTTATTGCAGTATGGCTAGTGGATTATCATATTGAGCTTATGACTTCTATTTACCTCTTTAGGCTAACCAGAGAGTAGAAACATCTATTCACATCTGTGTCTGAGTGCTTGAAACATAAAGGTGTCAACGAGTGTTCTTTATTTGACCTATATTTAATAATAATTAAAATAACATATTATAATTGATACTAACTCATTCCAACTTCACAAGAACTGTGAGATAGTTACTATTAATACTTGTATTTGCAGATGAAGATACTCAGCTTTGGAGAGGTCCAGCTACTGTCCTTAGATACACAACTATTATATTAACTTGTAGATCAGGATTTAAAAATTGAGCTGCAAAAGGGACTCAAGCTTCAGCTGCTAGGCACAGATCCTCCTTTGCTTGTGAGATAATAAATTAAGAACCATTAACTTATTTGTTTTGAACATGGGATAGAATATAGACATGAAACAGATTTGTCATGACACAAAGCCTCAGCTGTAACAAATTAAATCAACACCCTGGACCTTCCTCTCTACATGCCTCTTTACTATCATTATATAAAGATCCAGTGTCAGGTAATAAAAACAAACAAATAATAGCATTCAACTCTACGATCTTGGACAAAGGTTATCGTTCCTCCAAGTCATTTCCTTACTTATAAAATAGGAGACTTAGATCACAGGATCTCAGAGATTGCTTACTGGAATTGAATCTAAGATGCAGTATGTCCCTTTCCCATATTATATATTTTTACATTTAGAAAGGCCACGTATTTCTATTCTGATAGAAAGTCCTAGGAAAGGATTCTTTGTTAAACTCCTCCACAGTATTGGCCGGGCACGGTGTCTCACGTCTTTAATCCCAGCACTTTGGGAGGCCGAGGCGGGCGGATCACGAGGTCAGGAGATCGAGACTATCCTGGCCAACACGGTGAAACCCCGTCTCTACTAAAAAAAAAAAAAAAAAAAAATTAGCCGGGCATGGTGGTGGACGCCTGTAGTCCCAGCTACTCGGGAGGCTGAGGCAGGAGAATGGCATGAACCCAAGAGGCGGAGCTTGCAGTGAGCCGAGATTGCACCACTGTACTCCAGCCTGGGTGACAGAGCAAGACTCTGTCTCAAAAAAAAAAAAAAAAAAAAAAAAATGTCCTCCACAGTATTTTCCTATTTAATCAGAGTAATTGCCAAAATACTATTAATGGTCTACAAGGATTTATTCCTATTTCTCCTCTCTCTCAACTAATTTCATACACACACTGCTGCAACTACAATGGCCTTGTTGCTATGCTTTCAACTCAGGGCCTTTGAACTGGCTATTCCCTGTACCCGGAATTTATCTCCCCTAGGTAGATGCAGGTCTCTTTTGCCTCCCTCAAATGTGACTGTCTTACCAAGGGCTGTCCTGGTCACCCTATTTAAAATTGTATTTACATACTCCATTCTGTCCATTCTGTCATATTTTTTCTCTTTTCATTTTTAATTTACTGAATTTGTACTTTTGTTTTTCTCTTCCATTCCAACAGAACATGAGTTCCAAGGTCAGGGATTTTGTATATATATTGTATCCTAATATATCCCCAGCACCCAGAACAGCTCCTTGTACAGAATGATTCCTCAATTTTTGTCGATTTTGTGAATGAATGAAAAAGTAATCATCTATATTATTTTCGTTCATTCATCCTAACAATTGCATTTATTGGTGACTGCTAAGTACAGTTCTAGTTGCTGGAATCCTCTTGATGATTTTTGAAACCTTAGAGCCTCACATAATTTTACCCATTCTGGCTATTAAAAATTGTGTTGTGTCCAATATGAAAAATGAGCACTCTTTTAAGTTAATAAAAGTCAGGTCTCTTATTTTATAAAAATCAAATGTCAAAGCTTAGACTATGAACTAACAAACTCCAGCTTCAAAAGTGTGTCCTTGAAATTAGTCTTGTGTTGGCACAAACAAAAAGGGAAAATGGAAAACTTTAGATTTTTTGTGTATCATGAGATTTCCAGGCTATTAGGCTAAATTAGCTCCAGTTGCCTGAAGGATGTCTTAGGTAACTGCAGCTATCCACAGACATTACCGCATCTAATTCTTGATGCCATGCTTTGGGGAAAATACAAAGAAATCAGAGAAATTGCAAAGAGTCCCTCTCACAATGATAAAATGCAGGAGTAAACCAGAACTGTGAAAAAGATCAATTGAATTAAAAACGTACAGCCTGAAAAACCACAGATTACTGAGGGGAAGATTTTTTTCTGAAATATTAAAGAACAACCAAGAGAAAGAGGCTATTATCTTAATTATATAATGGGATACTGTTTTGAAAGCACTCTGGTTTATACAAGTGAGAATCTGCATTAAACATGAGTATCTCTTCACTTCTGGGGAAAAGTAGCATTAGAAGCCAAAATGGTTTTCCCTAAGCCACCGTTTTGCATAAGTGGATTCTTAATTGATTCTGGTAGGGGTCATGAAGGACCTACATGGGGATGACTTTCTTGCTGATAAATTGGGATGAATAGCATTCTGCTTTCATTGGAGAAAGGATAAGGAATTAGTAGGATATGCGTGGTGTGATTGTTGCAGAGAAGCACTTTCATTAAATTGAGAGAAGTAACACACACGCACACACACACAAATTATTTCAGTCTTTGAGGTATTACAGTAAAAAAAATAGAGCTTTATTCTTTGTAGACTAGAAACACAGCCAACAAAAATGTATACCCTGAGATCTACAATAGGCAGGAAAACTTAAAGGAACCACCATTTTACTGTGGAAAGACATGGATTTTAAGTCATGAGATCTGAGTCTTTCTCTAGGTTCTATAATTACCTTGCTTTACAAACTATGGTAAGTTATTAACTTCTGTATAATTCACTTTCTTAAACTGTTAAATAGGGTTAGTGGTGAGACCAACTACCTTATAGTGTTGAATGATATCTCCTTTTAAAATGAGAAAGCATGTAGGAGAATCAATTTTCTCCCAAATGAAAGCGTTATTCAAATGCTTATTTAATTATAGTAGATTTCTGTAGCTACCCAGGAGGAATAAATGATTCTTTGGGACCTATCATATCCTGGTGTTCAAATTTTCCAAGACATGTTCCCTAGAATAACTAACCAGGTTTTTAGAAGCAGTAACCCTTTCCAACAAGGACTGTTCTTCTTAATCATGACCATGAAACATGCTGAGTGTGGGAAATGTTGGTAAAGAAACAGTGAGTCCAGAGGTATGTCCAGGTCAAAGTAGGTGTATATGAGATTGTAGGAGGAAGTCAAAAGAGATGTAATATACTTGAGTTATCAACAAGTCAATGGAGAGTCAGAAATTTGAAGGCAAAAAATGACGGCAGAAAGCAAGGGCATGAGGATTAGGTTGAATAAAGTTTGAATATCTCTGGGTAGCTCTGATAAATTTTACCAATATCTATCATCATAGGAGATAATGATAATGGTGACCATGGTTGGTTAGACCTATCAAGAATGTTTTGTAGGTATCACTTTTCTTTTGACAGAACTCAGTTGGAATTAATCACAACTTTGTCCCTCTTTCGTCCTTTTATCTGGTCTGTGGCGACCGGTCTATCTTTTGAAAGGAAGAAATGGTTAGAAATGGTTTCTTTTCTCTCTGTTGTGCTCAGTGCAAGCCCAGTCAGTGAAAGAGTCTCTTCACTGGCAAATCAGAATTCCCCAAATATTCCATATTAATATTCTTTGCAGACATTTCTTTGACATCAATGCACACAGTTGGCTAATAAAGTTATTAAAATATGTCTCAACATCATCATTTTCTTTGCTTAAGTTTTTTTTGTATGTGTGAATTGTCTAGTCCTAAACAAAATCTTTTCCCTCTTACAAAATCATTCTAAAGAAAAGTCATTCTAATTTAACTCTCTAACATATAGTATTTTGCCTTTTTTGCAAGCCATTCCACTTAAGATTAGAGCTTTTAGGCTGATACAGTACTAGAATTAAAATAAGGACACTACTTTGATTTTCCAGTGTTGATTTTTTTTTGTTTTGTATAGCCAAACCTATAACCTTAGATAGTGAATTATTATCTCCAGGGGACAACCACGTTTTCAAAGCACTTTTTAAAAGCATTTTTCATGAACTTTCAAACATACCCTAGTTTTTTCCACATTTATTTCCCTCTTTGCTTTGAAATTTTTCATGAGATAATCACACCCATTTGTGCTACAGGCATGCAGTGGGTCAGCAGGTCCATCTGTGGAGGAAAGTTGGAGGATTATGAGAGATGGATGGCACCTAGAAAATTCAGAAACACCTAGAGGGTTATGTATCTTATCTTTTAAGAACTCAGATATCCTGTGCATTTACTCATCATGTATAGAGGAAATAACAAAGTAATTATAAATTAAAGGAGTTATAAATTATTAAGCATCACATGAATAATTTATTAATCATTCATGAGGTGCTAGTGCTGTGTCTCTGTATCTATCTGTCTGTCTGTCTCCCCTATTGATATTTTTATTACTTCATCCTTGACCTTAAAATCACCTTAGGAGTTAGCAATTTACTATTAATCCTGTCTTACAGATAAAGTCTTGGGACAAATCTCTATCATATAGTTCACCAATTCCAATTATGGAAATAAGCTATACCTGGTATATCATATGCTATCCTGGGTATCTTAATAGCTATTTATAACATATTAATGCATTGTATTTATTTAATGCTCTTTTCCCCTATATTCACACAGCTAATTAACTTGGTTTTTCTTAAAAGCAATACTGAGTGAGTTCAATGATTAGGCTTGTAAAGGAAAAAAATTCTATCCCTGTTTTTGAAAAATAAAAGCACATTCCGTCAAAAATTATGACCCTCTGTTAAACTCCGAAGTGTCTTCTTTCAGGCATCAAAGTTTATGTCAAATCCCTCTGACGCTGTGCTTAGCTATGTTTCTTAAGTATTTCTGACTCTCTTATGTGAAATTATCCTTCAGCTCATGATTCAGTGATTCTTTAATATCTTGACACACAGCCACTTAGAAAACCACTCATCATAAAAGAAGGAAACAAAAACATCTCTCTTAACAATTATTTAGGCATTTTACTTCTTTTAACAGTTTCCACATCCATTATCTTGTTTAACTAAAAGATAAAGCATTGGAATAGAAACACATATTTTGTCAAACAATTTCACTTTCCTTTTTCAGTTCAAGTTAAATGATAAAATCATAGGTGTATGCTTGCTATCTGTGGCAGACACTCAAGCCAACTATTGATAACTATTCTTCTCTCCTTCCTCAATGTTAAGAAGACAAATTTTAGTTAGGTCCTTTCCTTCCCAGATAAGTATTTCCTTCTCCTCCTTACAGCTATGTGTGGCCATGACCAAGTTAAAAGATGCATCTAACATCTGTAAAATTGCCTTAAAAGTCAATGGGAACCTGTCTTTCTAAACTCCTTTTGCCCTTCTGTTTCCTGGAAGGTGAATGTGATGACTGAAGTTCTAGCAACCAACTTGGCTAACAAGGATTAGAAGCACAGCCTAGGGATAATGGAGCAATCATCTAGGAGACAAGTTTTCTGAAAGAATTTGGAGAGCTGCTTTAACCAGGGCTAGACCACTAACTTCTGGGCTCTACCTTTGGTGATATATAATATATATATTGCATAAACTTCATAGCAGTACTATGAAGTAGGCATGAATATCGCTATTATACAAAGAAAGATATAAAGCTTCAGGGATTTTAAGTGATTGACCTAAGACCAAAACAGAATCCATGGTTTAGAATCACAGTTCTTCATACAGCTCTGGTACAAAATGGTTTCTCCAAATTTGCCTGTTTACCAAGTTAAAACGGGAACTAATTAAATAGGCACACTTAATTTATAGTCAGATAATGAGAAGAGAATGGATAATTTCCACTATGAAGGCCAGATTGGGTGACTTTAGCAGTTTATTGGCCTTCATTTCATGCTACCATGTTAGTTTCAAGAAAGTTTTCTCTATCTATCTATCTATCTATCGATCGTAAAAAGAAAGAAAGAGAGAGAGAAGAAGGAAGAAAAGAGGGCAGGAAAAACAAAGAAAGGGAAAAAAATGCTTTTAAAATGCCAAGCAGTAGATGTCCTGAACTACTTGTAAATCTAAGTACAAACAAATAGAAAATGATGCAATATATTTTATGTAAGAATTAATAGAAGTAGATTCCTGTTTTATTGGGGTGGGGGACAGCTTTCTAAAAATTTAGCAAGTGACAACAATTTCGGATAAAGTCAAAGAAAGTGAAACAAAGAGTACATTGGATCCAGCTAAGAGGATAACACTGATTGCTATTAATGCTGAAATAACAGGGAAGGTTGTGAAGTCAAAGCAACAGAGATAAAGAATGAAGGTGGCAATTGTATCAAGGGCAAGAAAACAGTAGAGGAGAAGGTCTTATACTGCTTGAATTACAAACTTTTCTTTTTGGTATAGATTTGGCATTTTTAGCTGAGATTCCTAAATAAAAGCCTCAGCTTTCTTCATTTTGTTTACTAGGTTTTAACAGTTCTATTTCTTACTGTATCTGCCTGCCAAATTTTGATTGAAGATGAAATCTACTGGGACCACTGAACATAGAACTTTACTCGATGAGTAAGACTGGATTTTGGGGCTATAGCATACTGCAGGCACAGGGACTCAAGTAGACAAATACTCACGACTGGCTCAGGCTTTCTATCCATCAACGATAATGCTTAGCATTAAACACCTACAACATGACAGGTATTTTGCCTACATCACCTGTTAGGTCTCACAGTCCCATAGTAGAAACAAGGTGTGGTTAATGGAATGGACTCTGGAGTCACCCTTCCTAGTTTAAAACCTAATCAGTGCATCCTCTCCATCCTGAGACGTTGGTTATGTTGCTCATCTTTCCTATCTTTCAGTTTTCTTATCTGTAAAATAAGAATAAAATTAATATTCACCTCTTTAAGGTGTTGAGAATTATTAGCTAAAATATATTGTCACAGGATCCTTGGGGTGTCACTTTCTGGCCAGAGACCTCTGTGGCCAGTGGTGACTATGCCTGAGTTTTGCTCGGCCTGCTGGGCTTGTTCCGCCCACTCAGCCTGGCAGGCTGCACGCAGTTCATGTCACTGGCCTGGATCCCATGCTTGTCAAGGGTGAGCCAGGCATGGAGCACGAAACAGCGAGGGGTGTGTAAGTGAGGGAGCCTGGGGTCCAGCCACTGTGAACAGCCAGGCATCCCGGCCAAGGCATGGCAGGCAGCTCCAGGCACCAGCACGGGTACTGGCTCCCTGCGAGGCTGTGGCTAGACCAGGCATACCACAAGCAGCTTCCACGGCTGGCACTGGGGAACACGGTGGCACCTGAAAGCTTGGAGATGACAGGAACTGACAGGAGCCCCAAAGAAGGTGTCACAGCCCTGACTCAGGGAGCTCCTAGGTCTGGGCTCCTGAAAGGGCTGCAGCTCTTCTCTTTTCTTCTTCCATTGCCCACCACATGGCAAGCAAGGAGAGTGTTTTAGCCCTGCTTGTGTTTTTCAGCCATGCCATTTGGCAGGTACTGAGTTCTTGTCCTGCATCCAGGAAGAATGAGGTACGCGGACAAGTGGAGGGTGGAGGGTGAGCAAGGTGAAGAGGTGCTTTATTGAGTGACAGAACACCTTAGAGGAGACCCATAGTGGGCAGCTCCTCTGCAGGCAGGTGGTGCTGTTGTCTGCCCGAGTCTGGCTGAGGACAGGGATTTTTATAGGCTTCAGAGGAGAGGGAGTGTGTGCTGATTGGTCCCTGGGTGGCCATGGACAGCCCTGGAAAAGGCACCGTAAGTTCTCACTCGGGTCCACAGAACTGGTAGCCCAAGCCCCAGGCCTCAGGCCATTCCCTAGCCTGAAGGTAGGATTTCACCAGGGACCTGTCCCTTACCCCCTGGAGCCTGTCACCTCCTGCTGCCGTTTATCTGCCGTCCATGGCACCCAGGATGCCCAGGTTGTTCCTGCAGAGGGGGTGCCTGCAGTCCCTTGCCAAGCCGCCCTTATCCCCTCTCCAGCCTCCCTCCCAGGCTCATCGGCACCCAAAGTCCAGAGTGGGCTGATGCAGCAGGGGGCTAGTGTGTGTCAGTGCTGCCCCAAGCATGTACACACCTGGCTGGGTCATGACAGCGCCTGGGCTTGGCCACAACTTTGCTCTGAAATCAGAACAGGCACTGGGAGTAGGGAGAGGCCAAGCAGCAGGAGCAGGCACTTCTGAGCTTGTAGGGGTAGGGGGGCTTCCTTGGCCCCTGAGAGTGCAGAGATGCCCCATCCGCAGTCGTGGCTGAGCAGCTATAGCTGAGCTCAGAAGAATGGTGCTCCCCACCCTTCAACTTGGAAGCGGGCGGGGCTTCCACCTGTTCCCAGCTCCTGCAGCTCTGTGGAGCATGCAGCCCCAGCCACGCCTCCCCCACTGCAGCCAGTGTCATGGCAGTGGCCACTCCAGACTGGCTGCCACTGTCATCAATATCATGTATTTAGAATAGCCTGTCATCTTATATGGTTTGCTATTATTTTTGTTGTTCTTGTTTTTAATCCCTTTCTTCATTTCACTGAGAAGAAAAAGGAAGCTGAGAGGGTTTACCCAATTAATAAATGTCAAAGCTAGTATTAAGCTTTAGGGTTGCCACCTCTAAAGTTGGTCAACACTCTGGGACAGGCACTATTTTGTGTTTCATTCGGGTAGAGAAATTCTGAATTATAAGAAACACCTTTTCAGAAAGTTCATTCCTAACATTTAAAAAGTAAATTCATCTCTGAAAATGCCACTTACTGCAAATTTGGACATCTTTCCACCCCACCGGGTGAAGGTAGGTCACCCCTTCTTACCTTCTCATTACAGCCTTCATTTCAGCTGAAGTGCAGGGCACAGTCAGCTTCCAGCTGCCTAATTACATTATGAGAACTACATTATTAAAGGGCTATGTAGTGTGAATCTGTGTTATAAGTGTTTTCATGAAAACTACAAAAGGAATACAATTAGTTTTTCATCTTTGGAAAGAAAGCTCTTAGTTTGATAGGACTAGAAACCCCTCTGTTGCTTTGGCTTTAATGTCCTCCTCCTTCCTAAAAATCCCTTCCAGGCTGTCCACAAGCCTCTCTGTCCAAATCAAAACTGTTTTCAAGTCACCACCAAAGTGTTTTCAAAATTAGAGTAATTTCAGGTGAATTCTCATAAACATCTTTCCTTTCTTCTTGCTTTTCAATGTCTACTTAAGAACAAACACAAAGTCAACTCCAATGCTTTTTATAGTCCAAGCCCAGTAAAAAACGTTAAAATTCCAATAAGCAATGATGTCTTTTTACTACATTTTAGTACTAAAAAATAAGTGGTTCTAAGACTGCTGTGGCTGTTAGTACTTAAATGGCCAAATTATCTTAATTGTCTCAGAAGTGGTACTAAAGTTTGAAAAAGCAAGAGTGCCTATGTGAGAAGGAAGGGAAAATGCCACCATTATGTTCACTTTTTAGAAGGGAACATTTGTCTGCATTTCAGTCAACAACAAACCATTTTCCAGTAAATCAAAACTCAAAGAGGTGCGGATGGCAAAATTCTCTGGCATATGCTATCCGTGGCTGAGTTGTAGTAAATTTAACTTTGCTGTGCAGAATTATGAGTCCATTTGATTCCAATTTAAATCAACTTGAAGTTCCACGCTGGCCCATTTTGAGGCTGGGGCACGTTGCATTACAATGCATGAGACACATTTTTCTGTTGGCAAAGAGCTCTTTGGACTCTTGATGCCAAACTCAATGTCAAACGATGTCTGAGACCCTGGGGGAGGCAGGGAGCTAGAATACACTCAAGCTGAGTACATCTCACAGAGAAGAATCACTTACTTAAAGGCAAAGCGAAAAGAGGGTGTGGATGAAACAGTAGAGTCAAGAACCCAGCAGATTCTTATCAAGTAAATAAGCTTATCTTCTTTAACAAATTATCTCTTTTTTGATATTGATATCTTAATAAACTAACAAATATTCTCTTGTCCCAAGTCCTAACTTCTTTACCAATATCCATAACATTTACTGTTCCTTCTCACTGCCTGCCAAATCCTGGAAAGAACTGTCTATACTAAGAGTTTATATGACCTTTCTCCTCTCTATTCTCCTGGACCCATTCCTAGCAGGCCTTCACCCTCTGTTTACATACAAAGGATTCTTGATGAATCACACTCTTCTTCATTTTGAAATGCTCAATGATCTCTTCCCAGTCCTTGGTTTACTTGACCTATCAACAACTCTTGGCAGAAGTGATTCATCCCTTATCTTTAGAATGCATTCTTCATTTGGTTTTCAGGAGGGTCCTTTGAATGGATTATCCTCCTACTACAAATGTTCTTCCTTCTCAGTGGTCTTGGTTGGATCTGCCCCATTGTCCCTACCTGTATGAAATGGAATATCACAGGAACCACCCACAGATCTATAATCTTCTTTTATTATACTTACTTCCTAAATGCTTCCACTCAATAGCATGACTTTAATTTTCATTCATATGCTGATGACCAAATTTACATCTCCAGTCTCAATCTCTTCTCTAAACTACAACTTTTAATTTGATAACTGTAATTGAAAGTTAATAAGTATCTTAAAATTAAAGCTTCCCAAAGACATGCTTTATATCTACTCTCTCCGAATCCGAAATGCAGTTTTTTCAATCAAATTAACTGGCAATTCCATCCTACCAGACCAAAACGTTGCTTTAGTCTTTACTCTTCTTTCTCATATCTCACTTCCAATCTATCAGTAAATACTATTGGTTTTAGATTCAAAATATACTCTGAATTTGCCCACTTCTCACTATAGCCACTGTTATCTCCCTGGTTTAAGATACTGTCTTCTTTTTTTTTTTTTGAGATGGAGTCTCACTCTGTCGCCCAGACTAGAGTGCAGTGGCACGATCTCGGCTCACTGCAAGCTCCACCTCCCGGATTCATGCCATTCTCCTGCCTCAGCCTCCCGAGTACCTGGGACTACAGGCACCTGCCACCACGCCTGGCTAATTTTTTGTATTTTTAGTAGAGACGGGATTTCACCATGTTAGCCAGGATGGTCTCGATCTCCTGGCCTCGTGATCTGCCCTCCTCGGCCTCCCAAAGTGCTGGGATTACAGGCGTGAGCCACCGCGCCCGGCCAAGATACTATCTTCTTATACTTGGATTCTTGCAAGAGACTTCTAACCATTCTCCTTACTTTTACCTAGGTATTATTTGGCATGTAGATGTCAATCACTCTTCTAAAACTTGAGTCAGATCAATTCATTTCTCTATTCGAAACTCACCTGTGCCCTCCTAAGGTATTCAGAGTGAAATACAGAAAACTTACCATGACTTATAGCATCCTACCTTTTTGACTGCCTTTGCTTCCAGTACCTCCCCAGCTTACACATCAGGTTCACACCAAGCTCCTTACTGTTCCTTAAACAGCCCTAGGATGTTTTCATCTGCAGGCCTTTGCACTTGCTGCCGTAACTGCTTAGAAGCACTTATCTATGTGCTTTCATGAGGCTTCTCTTCAAAGATCCCTTTATCAAGAAAGCTTCTATAATCCATAGAAAATAGCATCCCTGGATCTATCATTTTTAGTGACTTTATTCTGCTTCATTTTTCTTTGTGACACTTATTACCACCTGACATATTTTGCATTTGTCACTGGCTATCTTCCCCAACTAAATATGAACATAATGTGGACTTCCTTTTCTCCACACTTATATCTTGAGTGCATAGAATAGTGCCTGATCTGATCACCTGAGGTCAGGAGTTCGAGACCAACCTGGCCAACATGGTGAAATCCCATCTCTACTAAAAAAAAAAATACAAAAATTAGCCAGGTGTGATGGCAGCGCCTGTAATCCCAGCTACTTGGGAGGCTGAGGTGGGAGAATTGCTTTAACCCAGGAAGCAAAGGTTGCAGTGAGCTGAGATCATGCCACTGCACTCCAGCCTGGGCAACAGAGCAAGACTTCATCTCAAAAAACAAAACAAACAAACAACAAAAAAATAGTGCCTGGCACCCAGGAGCATTTTAATAAGTTCCAGAATTACCTAAATAGTTGTTTCACAAAAGTTAGTGGAATCAACAAAATGAAACTTTCCTCTACCTGATTTAGAAGGATATTTTAAAAGTCATTAGGAATGATACATCTTGGGAGTTTCTTGACTTTCAAAATATATAAAACTGGCAAGACGATCTCAGCAGAGAGAAGAGTTTCAAACCAATCTACCTTCTGACACTGCCTTGTGTCACTTTGTAAAGGTCATAGATATTTGAAATAAAATTTTCCTTGACATAATAGAAAGTGAGTCCTGGCAAAATAATTATGAAATATTGATTTAGAGAAATCCAGTGGTTCAGGCATTCTGAGATAGGGGGACAGGGAGCCAAAAATTACTGGCTTGTGATGACTTGGCATTTTTTTAGCTTGCTTGAAACCATCTTTAGCTTCTGTGAATCCATAAGGCACATGCTCAGTACGTTTGGCTGAGTGTTCTGCTCCCAATAACATTTCTCCATAACTATTAACATAAAACCACCTCAAATTAATGGCTCTGCTAAATTGAACTTGACGTGGTTCAAAATGCAAGCCAATCTGTTTTCAATTCCACAATCACTCATCATTCTTGTTTTATTACTTCTAGAGGCAGAAGAAGCTTAAGATGTACTAACTTTGTTAAACAAAATCTGATTTTTGACTCAACTGTCAGTCTTCACAGTTCAGCAAATTTTAAAAAATATTTTGCAGCATTTTCTATATTATCTCTGTAGACATTTATAGATAGTTCTCTTATATTTTACATGATATAGCTGAAAAAATTGTTAATTTTTGTAGACCACTAATGTATCTATCAATTCTTATTTTACTTTACACTCAACCAAAAATAAGAAGCCAAACAATACAAAACCCCAAACCTCAAATGATAAAGTATTTATTTTACAAAAGCATTTTGCTTACTCTTTGAACACAGATTTGACATATCACCACCTTCATATTTAAAATGTCTTAGGGAAATAGTTCATGCCTACCATTAAGAAGGAGGTTTTATTTCATGAGATGCAGCAAATAAGGACACAAACAAAATACATCACAGCACAAACTCTTCTAAATCTCATCACTAACATCTAATTCTTCGCTGTAGAGCTCACCGTCTGCCCTACCTCCTGAGACCTGGATTCGTCTGTTTCTTTCTCCCACAAGTCACCATTCTGCGTCTTCCTACTTGTTTAGTCCTAATATCTCTCTGTATAAAGTGTGTGTCCATTGTCATTAAAATATGTGTCCTGTTTCCCCTTGCTTATCACTTACTCCTCCTTTTGTATTATTCCAAGCCATTTAGCACTCACAGCTTAATAGAAGTATTTTTGGAAACAATATACTCAGTAATATATGGCCAAATGTGCATGATCACATTTTGTAGGGAGCAATTAAGAATTGTGAAACAGCCCGGACTAATTTGGAGCCAAACTACCAGAACTGACTGACAAAAATGAGTATTAATTATCGTGCCTTGCCTCTTCACTACAGCTGAGTTTAATTTTCATGGCCTTCATATTACCAAAGTAACACAAAAATGAACCACTCTTGTGGCTTTACCATATGATGATAAAGGCGGAGCATTTGAATAAATATTGTAATTGAATGTTTTATGCTGTGTAGCTAACATTTGTCTCAAGTAGAAAAAAATAAGCTATATAAGCATTATATTCATGAGGTATCATGTGATAATTAAAAAGAAAAATGGAAAAATGTTTAGGACAAATGAAAAAACATGTAGACACACTTCAGATATATGCATGCCAGGTGTTAATATGAAAAAAAGAATTGAACAGCAATATAAAGAAATAAAAAATATCTTTCTTTTAAGGTTGTAAGATGTCAAAGTAAGAAGGCACTACATGGAATTAAACAGGCAAGAAAAGCTTTATTCAAGACATTGCAATAAGGAAGAGGGATTGAATTCAACTCTGTTGAAACAAAAAGCAGGAGGGTTTTAAGTGCTGGGCTAACCTGGTAGAAAAGTGCTGGAAAATGTCGAGGAGAGGTTGGTCAATACGTTTCCTAATTGGTACTTGACAAAGTTAGACTCCTACCTTTTAATAGAAACTAGGAGAGTGTACCCTATCTTTCTTGGTTACATTTTGAAGAGATGGCTCCTAGGTCCTTGAAAATACATTTCTGAGCTATCAAACTGGCAAGCTGGAAGCATATTTACAGCCCAAAGGAGTAGAGAAAGAGTTTATAATTGTGTTTTAAAGTAAGTTATCTAAGAAAAGGGAATCCGGACCCAATAGTCAGGAGGAAAACTTTTTAAAGTTTAGTCAAGCCAAGAAGAACATTAAAGTCTTCTCGGGCAAGAATCACAAGTAGTATTTTTCTACTGACTCTGTTTTTGTAATACTATTTTGTTCCTATAATTAAAATCTAAAAAGCAACAAAAAATGTCCTATTTAATAAGTGCCTTAGTCTGCTCTCAGCTGCTAATAAAGACATACTTGAGACTGGGTAATTTATAAAGGAAAGAGATTTAATTGACTCACAGTTCCACATAACTGGGAAGGCCTCACAATCATAGCAGAAGGTGAACGAGGAGCAAAGTCACATCTTACATGGCAGCAGGCAAGAGAGCTTGCACAGGGGAACTCCCTTTATAAAACCATCAGATCTCATGAGACTTATTCACTACCACAAGAACAGCACGTGAAAGATCCATCCCCATGATTCAATTACCTCCCACTGTGTCCCTCCTACAACATGTGGGAATTATGGGAGCTACAATTCAAGATGAGACTTGGATGGGGACACAGCCAAACCATATCATTAGGTTTTTAACTCACCAAAATGTTATTTTGAGTAAGAGTCAAGACGATCATTCACATGGCTATTTCTTAGAATAACTTTATATGGTTGGTGAGTGCAATATTCCCTACTGTAGACCAACTTTGAAGGCACCAATGGAACAGATCTGAGGATATTCATTGCCCCTACTTTTGGCTTTCTAATTCCTCAGTAAGTAAAATATCAGATTACTGGATGGGTCTGTACATTATAATCATCAAAATGAGTAAACACAACCACAGAATTCTCTTGGCTAATTCTTTTCACTTTCTTTAATTATCTTTCCCACTAAAAATTTCAATGTTCATTAAGCAAAGCTGCTCTAAGTAGCTTCTGTCACTCCAGTTAACTATTAAGTATTTAAACCTGTACTTCTGAAGACCATTTCATATGAGTTCACGTTTACTCATATCATGAGTCTGACAATATTACAGGGTTATCATACTTTTACCCAGGAGCTTTTAGTCTAAGCTGCATTTCATTTTACAAGAACCACTGTGATAATAGGCTAAAAGTCTTGACCAGGGAATAAAGAGAACTGGTTTCTTGTCCCAGCTCCATGATGAAATAGGTACATAACACTAACCAAGTCTTGTCACATCCCTGGCCTAATAGCACAGTTCCAAATCTGTAAAATGAAAGTGTTAAGCTTCAAAATTGCTAAGACCTCTTTCAGCTGTAATATCTTATGATTCTAAGATTCTACCACCTTGCAAGATCCTTGTGAGGCAAAAGTTAGTTTATGTTTGTTCAAGTTTTAGATAACATAGAACTCTGCACTCTAAAAGAGTCAAAAGACTAATGACGGCGGCAGTTTTAGAATAAGGATCCACCATCCTTGAAAGCACTCTTTAGTGAACCAGGCACAGGGCCATTTTAATTTCCCTAAGCCCGTTCTATGGAAGTTTCTAGAAATAATCATATTGCCAAGCTTTAACTCTTAATTAACAGCTGAGTTTTAAGTGTCAATTTACTGTTTGTATAGGGCCCACTCAGTTTCCATCATATTACAAAATATATATACGACCTAGTAAGATATTCACCAGTGTCCACTCACTGTATAAATATATAAGGAAAGAAATTAATATGAATTTATTCATCCTTTTTATTAATATTTTATGCAGTTGACAGCAACTTCATGGATTTGAACACATAAATGAAAAGGCATGGGAGGCATTTTACTTATTTAGGTAGTACATGTGCCTGGTTTGTACATAGAATCAAGAAACCCTTTTTCCAATAAATGCACACCAACCCATCACCTTCATTTTTCAAAGTCGGGAATCATTGGTCTACGTGGATCAATCAGTACTGAGTTTGACATATATTCATTTTAATGGAGTGGAGAGAAACGTCTTCAAATTCCTGAAATATTGTTTAGCTCAGGTCACATTTAAAGTCTGAGTAATCATAAATGCAAGACCCAAACCTAAATAAAATGGACTAGTCATCTAAAGAGAAATACATCCTTTGTGATATACCCCCAAATCAGAATTGCTCAAATGACAGAAGTCACATTTTATGAGTTGTGCTCTTAGCTGGTTACCCAAGGGGCCATAATATTAATATTTCCCTTCAGAAATTTGTATAACTGACTCTCTTTACTCCAAGACCATCTACTCCTGAGGAACAATGTGTAAGGAATTTGGATGTGAGGTGGTTTAAAACAGCCCCTGCTGAAACTTGCTAGAGAAAGCACTGAAAATTCCACCTGCTCCATGGCATAGAATTTTCCTCAAAATTCACATTCTTTGACAATGGCAAAGCTTTTTAATTTAAAATGCTTCTAACCATTCTTGCTTTGCTTCAGTGGACTGTGGTTATAAAACTTTTATCATCCTAGACTGCCAAATAGAATATATCAAGCAACTGATTCCATCACAGCCCTTGTTCCCCAAGTGGAAAACCAAGGTTGTATGACATCTGAGTCTGAGAACATTTCAGAATGTTAAAACGATTAAACTTACTGTGTGTTTAGTGTGCACAGAAAACTGCTTATTTTCCTGAGTTTCTTGCAAGGGTAAAATTAACCTATGAAAAACTAAAGAGGTAATGCAAGTTAGAATACTATACCATTCCCTAAAAGCTCAACAAGGCTTGGAATTTTCCCCTGCCAGTGTTCCAATGAACAGCTATTTGGATACCTGCCAAATGAATGAAGCACAATACAGATGGATCTTCTTCTCTTGTTTTCTGAATTATATTCCTCAAGTTGTTTGTCTTTAACCTTCAGAAAGCCTTGTGCCTTTATCATCTAAAACGATCTGAGCTGGGTGGTGCTTAGAAGTAATTTTAAAATACTGTCAACTAATAAAAACAAACACAATAGTGACAGAAAGCTCAAAGACCTGGCTATAGTAGAGATTTTAAAGGGAATGACCCCAGAGGAAAACCAACTGATCTTGGTTTATTTATCCCAGGCAATAAATCACCATCTAGACAAATTGAGGCATATTGAGACTTGGTTGCTTAATGGATAATCCATTGACCTTTTAATCCCCTTAAATCTTTTTCTGTATTCATTTTTATGTACCAGGCAGCATGTTGCATGCCAGGCAAATTTGTTGTTCCAGGAAGAGGTGAAATTGTAAAAGAGAACAACTGTGGAACCATAGCTATTATTCCCCCCTCTGACATCCTCCTGATACCCTGGAAAAATTGAGAATAAGGGTAGAAGGGAATTTTTCATAGCATATTATGTAAAAAAAAATTACCCTTTCTATAACTCTTAAGCTAAACACAGATTAAACAACTCTGCTAAGTCCCAGTATGCTGCCAACTACGTGTCTGGATCAAGTGGGAATGCCTTGATTCTCTAGATGTGCCCTTCTAGGAGTCAGCCTACAATAGCAATCTGAATTCAGGTAGTCAATACAACTTCTTTCTCAACCACAAGAAGCAGAGTAGCTTGATAATATCAAATATACCAAATTGAAAGCTCATTTTAGGAAAAACAAAAGGGCAACTTCTTTGGAGTATCTGTAACAAGAAGGAAACATTTTTAAAATCTAAAGCTCTGAATATGATAAAATGTATTTTATAAAAATAAATTCCAAATGGTAGTTTAACAGAAAGCAGATTGATATTTTAAAGGCTGGCTCTGTCTGTTTGTGTCTTTATCCAAAGCATTCTCACCTTTTACAGAAACACAGTATTGCTGCCAACACTCCCGCATAGCTCAGTCACCCCGGGTGATAACATAACCAAGTATTGTGTTCAGAGTAATCAATCAATCAATCCATCCAGGAAAATGAGCAAGTCTCACTCAGCAGGTTCCCACTCTACAGGAAGTAACACACTATTGTTCTTACTCTCCTGAACCTTATCCAAATCAGTAAACCAATCAGTTACTCCCTCATACTACCACTGTTGGTAGATAAAATGATAATTGCATTGTTTCGTCAACCATTCCAAACATCAACTGGCATCAAGACCCACCATGCTGCACAATGCCCATCTGTGCAGTTGTACTGAGTTAGAAATCCAAAAAAGGAAAGTGGTTACAGCAAACCCAGAGATTAATTTAAAAAAATTGATTCATAGCATTAAAAAGTAATCAGCATCTATCCACACAGATCAACTCATATGTAGAAAGGAGATTTATTCAGTTTTGGACAATAGAGGAACATTTCATTAACATTAAAATAACCACCTCTCATATCATGCGTGTTGTCTTACATTGAGAGGAAGTGATCAAAGTCTGTTTAGATCACCCTGAAAATCTACAACAATTTAAGGCCATAGACCATAAAAATCTTTCAGAACAGAAAATGTCTTTATGCAATTAATCAAGATATTGAAGTTCAAGAGTGACTTCTAATGGTCATGTGGCTACTTAGTGGAACAGTACACATTATATATAAAGCTCCAGAGGTCTTCAGACCTAATTTCTCTTTATTATACCAAACATGCAAGATGATCATAGGTTATTGGCATTTTAAGCTTTCATTAAGAAGCTTGATAGAAAATACAAAAATTGAGATAAAGGTGGGACCCAATCTAAAAGGAAAACTTATCACTAAATATCAAACAACCAAACCACCATGAACACCCATGAGTGTTCAGGGTTTGTTCTTGTGTTGGCGTTGTGGTAGATAAAACAGTACTATCACACACTGAGTATCCCACTAAGTTCAAACAACCAGCCATCACCCCCTACAAAAAATCAGAGAACAAAATAGTGTATAATACAGCTCAACTATTTAGTAGGAGAAATAAGTGGAAAAGAACTTGGAAAGGTGAAAAATGTGAAAGACAAGAAATATACTATAAAAAGTTGGAGTTGTGGTTAAAAAGAAAAGAGTAAGATTCAAAATGCAGCCCCACCATCAGGCTGAGACACAATCACATTCCACACAGAAATAGATGGCACACTTAACTTGGTTAATTTCAGGAGGAAATATTTATAAAGGTGTAGCTAGCTGTTGGGAAGCCATGAGGTATGGTTCAGTGCCTACCTGAGTGATAGAAGAACACCAGTTATTTTCACTAGGTCTGAAGAGATTTGCAGAACATAAAGATAGAGAATTCTGATATTTAGTGAACACTGGTTTATGACTTATACACATCTTGCTTTCTTCCTACCATTTCCTGCCAATGGGCATTAAGCTGGGAAAATCCAACAGGTCACCAGGGGGCAAAGGAGCTGGAAGGTGAAGAGTGAATCTGGGGAGACAATAAGATGTAGGCCGATACTAAAAACTATTTCCAAATGTGTCTTTCTGTTCTCATCCATGGCTCTACTTTGCCAGAGTGACTTTGTTCATATCTGCCACCTCCCTGCATCTAGCTCAGCTTTCACTGTTTTCATGAAAATTTACCAATCCTTCATATGAAATTAGTTAGTAATGCCTGCCTCAGAGGAAGTGTGCAATAAATATGAGTTCTTTTTCTTTTCCTGTATCTATAAATCCATTTTTTCATGGTGTGTTTGCGTGCTTAAATTTTTTTATTATTTAGAAAAAGAAAGAAAAGCCTCATGAGCTAGGTAACGATATATAATTCTAAAACAAAACTTGTAGATTAGTAAGTAAAGACTGAATGAGTCAGTATACAAAAAAAGAATAAGAGGAACCCGATTTCAACACATGGTGCTGAAATATAATATCTGAGTTTCTGTGATGGCTTTAACCGGAGTATGCAGATCCCTGATCGCCTAGGGAATAAATTGCAGGATAATTAAACTCCTGAAGAATCAATAGATTTTCCAGAAAGCTTACATTATATATTTGGTATTCTAGTTATGGCATTGAGTGTTAGGAAGGCTTGATATATCTTCAAGGGAAGAAGACACTGGTATATGTTAGCCTTCACGAGTTCTCTAAGAACTTGGCAATCTATTTCATACCACCTACCCTTCTCTCTGACACTTGAATAGGCCAGGACAAGTAGCAACACAAACAGATCTGATATAATTTTAAAATGTTTTAATATCTATATTATCTCATGACATAAGAAAGACAACTGAAGAAAATATCTGGATAGATCTTAAAATAGTCTTTGGATTTTACCTTATTGTGTTTTAATTTTTTTTCCTTTACAGTCATGTGTAACATCTAACTTGCTAAATATATATAAATATTGAGAACAAGAGTATGTTTATATCTTATAGAAGGAAGGAACTCAATAAATTTTAGCTGAATTGAGGAAAAATGTAATTGACATAAAAATCAACTAGTTTCACTGGGATTAAATAAAACATAGGCATTTTTACTAATGAACAGCAACATCAAAATTTGCCCATTAACACTCTAGAATATGTTATGCCTTCAACTTGAAATTAGGATGCCCTGATATTAGACAATGTCTGCCTTTGGCTCTCAGAGCTGAGTTGTACTGGGGTGGCTGGTATGAAAATAATCCCCACTGTTTCTAGTACAAATAATCTAAAAATAAACATACTTCCCACTTTTTGCTGGGGGTTGTAAATTAAGCAACATGGCTTAGAAGTTTCAGCTCACCATTTATTTAGACAGAATGGATGCTAAAGAAATTTGCTTGCTAAAAAGCATCCGTAAGAGCAGACTATATCCTTTCTAATCTCTGTATCATATACTGAGCACAACTTTAATCAGTAACAGTTGATTTTGTTGAGGGCAGTGAGAGTTTATTTGAAAGGAACCTTAAAAGTCTGGTGAGTTCGAACTTCTCAAGTAGAGATAACTCAGAGACCCTTTATTGATCACAGATTCTTCTTCTCTTTCCCACATAAAGAACATTTTCAAATCTCTCTTCTAGTATTTTGTGTTATTTTTCTCATGAAAGACATCAGCACATGTGAGTTAACTTTTTAATTTCCTGGTAGACATGGTTGTATTACTTAACTATCTAACATTATTCTTATAAAATTTACATTCCCTATAGATTTTGGAAATGTGTACATGGTCAGATTAATTTATTCTTGTCTCTAAGTATCTTTTATGAAACAATTATATCTAGAAGCTGATTTTAAGGAATACAAGTATTCCTTATTTTTCTTTCTAAGCTCTGCGTATTAGGCTTGACAATCTGGGATACAGAAAAAGAAGGCATTGTTTAATCACATATGCGCAAATGCAGTTTAGACTTTTAAAGTAAATCACTCTATTGTGAGCCACACTGGACCTAATCATGTCTGATTTATGAAGTATGGCCTGTTGTAAGTTAGCAGAACATTCTCAGGCCAGTCAAACATCCTGGGTTTCAGACTAGTCTCTAAATCTTACTACTGTGTAGCTGCGAACTATTTACTTATCCATCTTTGAACTTCACTCTTCTTGCAAAGTGTAGTAAGATAATTTCTTTGGTGGTTTTTTTTTAAAAATCAAATAAGATAAAGAAAATATATGCATTTTAAAAGACTGTTAGTTAATTATAAGCCAATAGACCTTTATGAGTCCAATTCCCTGCGTTCTGTTAATATGCCATTTTTAATCTAGTGAATTTTTTGGTGCAGTGAAGATTGGACTTTGGCATCTAATATCTGTAGGTGCAAATCTCAGGTTTGCTACTCTACAGCTGTATAACTTTGGACAAATTTCTTAAGCCCTCTGGAGATTATTTTTTGTCATTTTTTAAATGAAAGAATTAGGACTTTTTCATAGGGATATGCTGCCTTTCACATAGTAGTCTGTCGTCTGTCATTAACTACTTGTTTATAACTTTCTTCAATTGTACTCTTTCCCCAAAATACGTAATGCAAAGATACCTTGCCTGTTTCTAGATCCTACAATTTAGAAACTGAGAACTCACAAAAGTTTACAAGAGTTACAAGGAGAGTTAATGGCTTGGAAAATAGGATATGTGAAGGAAGCTTTAAAGACACTGGATCATTTGATACTTCGCAGAAAACCAAGGGTGGAATTCAAAATGTCTTCTTAGAAATAAAGATAAAGAAATGAAATGAAGATCGTCTCCGTCCATTCATGAAGATGAGAGACAAGCAGTGAGATTGACTGCAGTTGCATAATTTTCCAGTTAAGGATGCCAGGTGGAATACAGAAATCAAATCTTTACTTCCTCTAAGACCCACTGTTAAGCACCATAAGGACAGTACAGGAAAAAATATATATAATGTGTATATATAGATGTATATATATGTGTACACACATATATATATATAAATAAAATAGTTTTTCTTTTCTTGAAGGTAATAAGCCACAAGGAAAAAGATAATGGGGAATAACAAAAACAAAACTTAGGAAGATAGATAGGAAAAAGACAAGTGGTAACTGATTGAGCAGAATGAAAAAGTTGAACCCAAACCTAGCAGTAGAGAATAGTGATAACCTCATTCATACCACAGAACTTGCTATTCTCCAGGTACCTAAAAGTTTCAATGCAGAAGCCCAAGCCAGGAAAATTGACTGAAAGTATGTATAAGACATTATTAGATCTTCCCCTAGTCTTCATAGCCTGGTAACTGTACTTTCTCTTCTTAGGCAGTATATTGGGTATTTATTATTATTCTCTTTTAAGGCAGAATATTGGGTATTTATTATTATTTTGCCAGCATAAATGGAGGATCTGCTGTTTTGAAAGTTTGTGCTCCTCCAAAATTCATGTTGAAACTTCATTCCCAATGTAATAGTATTAAGACATAGGGCCTTTAGGTGGTGATTAAGTCCTAGGGGCTTGACAGAGTCTTGTCCCCCTTTTGACAACCCTTACCCTTCTGCCAGGTGAGAACACTGCATTCACCTTTTCCACCGCAGCAACAAGGCACCACCTTTGAAGCAGAGAGTAAGCTTTCATCAGACAGCTAATCTGCTGAAGTCTTGGTTTTAAACTTCCTGGCCTTCAGAACAGTTGAAGAATAAATTTTTATTATTTATAAATGACCCAGTATAAGGTATTTTTTTTGTAGCAGTAGGAACATACTAAAATCAAGTCTCTGAACTGGGTGACATTAGACACATTTGAAAGTGGAATAGCAAATGGGAAATAGAGGGATTAAGTTGAATTAGAGGTACTGAGTGGAGAAATTCCTCAATCTTCTTCCCCCATTTGGCTCACAGATAGGGTGAATATATAATTTATAATTCAAGCCAGTGCACTCTTGAGAAAAAAAGGAAATACTATTAATAGTTATTTATTTTAGAACATGTTATAAAGTACACATCTACCAGGAAAACTGGGGCTTGTAGGGGGCTATGGGCTTCATTCCTCGAACTCTAGTGGGCAGAGAGATTAGACATCTTGTCTGAGGGACACTGAAGAATGCAAGAGAAAATACGTAAAGAGGAAAACATTCAGGATTTCCAAAGGAAACAGCATGATCAGCTGGTTCTGCAGTGGAGATCATATTCAATGTGTTTTCACTATGAATAACATTCACAAATTAAAATAAGGTAAAACCTATATAAAGATTTTACTCAAATTTTAACCAAAACTGCTGGAAGAAATAAAAGTGTGCATGTCCAGGATGGAACTAGGGACATTCTAAAGGAGAGAAAAATCTTCATTCTCTGTGGGGAGAAGTCAATAGATAACACCCAAAGGTTAAAAATAAAATCCTGGAATAGAAGCAGGATTCTATTCTAAAATAAGTGAGATACACTTTAGAGAGTAGGAAATGATAGGATCAGGAACTCTTATTTTTATAACAAATCTAGTGCACTATTTGACCTTTTAACCTAAAGGCTGGCATACTATGGTCTTTGAGCCAAATTTCAATGGCCAGATTTTGTTTGAAAAAAATTAAAAAATTTTCCAGTGACACAGATATGCCCATTCATTTTCATATTTTCTGGCTGCTTACACAGTACAACTACAAAGTTGAACAGTTGCAGTGGAGATTATATAGCCCACAGAATCTAAAATATCTATTATGTGGCACTATAGAGAAAAAGGTCTGCTGACTGCTACCCTATACTACTACGGACATGAACAGTTGATTAAAAAAAAAAAAAATAGAAAAATAGTGATGTCAAATACGTTCCAAACAGGGAACGCTTCTACGTACTGGAATGATGAGTTGAACAAAATTGAGGGCTTCTCTTTCTTGGAGTCCTGCACGGACATAACTTTTTTATCCTCTAACGTATTATCAGTTATCCTACTTAAAGCCAGGATAACAAAATGGTTGCTATATCCAAGAAAACATCTACTCTGTGCTTCAAATCAAGCAAAGCAAGTCCTTATTTTTTATTTTATTTTAGATATTCAACAGTTTTTGTTCAGTTGTCTATTTGGTTCAAAATATACATTGCAGGTTTTCTGGAAATGTTTTTGAAATAATAGCTTCTGTGTACCCACCCACAGGTCTATTAGCAAGAATAAAATAGGAGGTAAAAGTCTTCTGAAAATGTGGCTCTCAGAGGAACTCAATGACAGAGCCCAACAGTCATTGCTTACCTGAGAATTTAAGTGTTTTCCTCGGGGAGAATGCTGCCTAATATTTTATCGATGTCTTTCTTGTTCAATTGCTTTCATATCACATTATCTTAACACATCGCATGGCCTCTTAGTGTCATGTTGCTTATATGCTTCCTAATAAGCTACCTAGTTAAAACGACAACGACAACAAGCTACCATGTTTTGGTCACACAGGAAATAACACCTTACGAGGTCAATAGATTTTCATTCCTTGCCTCTATCTAAGGTTTCAACATCAGTCGTGTTAGAAATGAAATTTACTAACCAAAACTGTTGGTTTGAAAATAATTCTTTCAGAGCAAGTGAAACCTATGCTTCTGGGAGTACTTCATGCCAACATTTATTATTGATTTTTTGACTCAAAAATAACTTGAAAAAGAATTAACATCCGCACCCTCATCACTATAAAATCACATGCAATAATTCAAGATTTGTGAACAAGTGAGTATTCTACTATTAAGAACAGTCTAAAAATGTAATTTTCATTTTCTGAGATCAAAATTTGGCCTTGACTAGAACATACAATTTTTCTCAGTGCCACAGATTCTGTAAAAGCCCTCTATTAATGTGTAGTAAGGGGGCATTTAGAGAAAGCGTCAAAACACCCGCAGTCTTGGTTTGGGCTTTATGATTATTGTGTATTTGTTAAGATAATTGTTTTCTGCTAGTGCCTGGAAACAAGTAAGGTTTATACAGTCATTTGTTTATTCACACATTGAATATGTTTTGAGTTTCTGCTTTGAGTATTTAATATTTTTTCAGTTCTTTTCTCCAGGGGAGAAGACTGCTAGGGGAGTTGTTGATGTAAGACAGGTCATTCGGGTAACAGTCAACTTATTTGTTCACAGAGCACTTAGTACTTATTGACTGAGACCAAGCACAGTGTCTACTCATAGTAGAAACTCAAAACATATTCAATGCATAAAAAAACAAGTAACTGTATCATTCAGTATACATAGGATGACTGAACAGATAGATAAGGAAATGCAACAAACTAGCCATTTTAGACTTAAGATTGGGGGAAGATAGCATGTGCGGGATGAGATAAGAAGCCAGAAAGATGTGAATCACAGTCTTGATGCAGTTTTCTTTGTCTATCATCCAGAATCAATCTACTTGATACTTCTAATTTATCATAAAGTATAATACAAAAATTGCAAATGGTTACTTTTATAGTTTTCAGATACATACAAATTTCCTTTTTATTAATTTTTTTTTTTTTTTGAGATGGAGTCTCGCTTTATTGCCAGGCTGGAGTGCAGTGGCTCAATCTTGGCTCACTGCAACCTCCGCCTCCTGGGTTCAGGCAATGCTCCTGCCTTAGCCTTCTGAGTAGCTGGGACTACAGGTGCACACCACCACGTCCAGCTAATTTTTGTATTTTTAGTAGAGATGGGGTTTCACCATGTTGGCCAGGATGGTCTTGATCTCTTGATCTCATGATCCGCCTGCCTCGGACTCCCAAAATGCTGGGATTACAGTCGTAAGCCACCATGCCCAGCCATAAATTTCCTTTTAAAGACAATTTGCAATTTCATAAGTAGGAACTCAGGATGGTGTCAAATGGCTCAAACTGTTGATACATAAAAGGAGTATATATGGCAATAAATACCATTTTTCAGTTAGAATGAGAGAAAGGTCACATACATACACATGTACATATAGACCCACATCATCATTTATAGCAGCAAGAGAATGGAAAATGTGGAATTGGGAATTGTACCATAGACACTTGAAAGAATGATACATTACTTGAATGTAGATATAAGAAACAAGTAGTATATATTCACTCTGTGTTAGATATCAGGCAAGATATCTAGACGAAGTTATTCTGAGGCTGGTATTCTGCCCTTAAGGAGCTTAAAACAGAGGTAGAAAGAGAGGATAGACATATTTTTAGAAACAGAGAAAAATCCAAATTAGAATACACTTGCGTACAACCATGTATCAGGCTTAAAATTACAAATGGTAGTTAAAATAGTGTGATGGCATAGTCTGACATGTAATTTCCTTGATGTAAGTTCAAGATTGCAAAGATGTGTCAGAACAGGGCCTAGAATGCAGGTCTTTTGCTGTGTTTTCTGTTTCCCACATGCCATCAGGTAGAAGGACAAGTAAATATTGTGAGGGTAAGGACTCTGCTATTGATTTGTAATTCCTCTCTATTTCATACCATGACTGTCCTATTGCAGAAGCTCCATAATTTTAATAAATAAATGAACAGAATAGTCAATATGTGACTAAACACCTTAAAGTAGGAATGAACATGGCATTATTTTAATGGCTAGCATGTTATAACTTAGAGTATGTGATATCTCTTTGTGTAGCTCATCCAGTCCCAATAATAACACTCTGACCTCAAGAATGTTATTCTGCTCACTCTGCAGGTGAACAAACCAATGATCAAAAAAATTAAAGGTACGTTAGAGTAAACCAAGAGGACGATACTTAAAAGACACTATAGCAGAGAGGACTGGGCTGGTTAAAGTGGTGGCTGATTGGTAAGATTGAGAAAGCAAGACTAGGTGAGAAGACTAAAATTAAGAATAGGGGACCTTAAGTCAAGGCATCTGCCTTCAAAACAGGAGAAAACAGTCCTTGTGTAAATTACTGGAACAAAGGGTAAATAAAGCCATAATCTTACCAACCTTGTGAGTTCAATCTAATAGGACTATCTAGCTTAACTGAGAGAAAAAGAAAGAAGGGAAGAATCAGAAAGAAAAAGAGATGGGGAAAAACCTAGTTGCCAGAGAAGAAATATCAACTTTATATTGTTCTCATCAGCATAATGGAATTCTGCAGGGCATTCAAACTTCAAGTCAGTGTGGGGATCCTCTTACTCAAGAAACTCCAACTGAGTTACAATTACAGCTAGGAGGGACTCTGAAAAAATTTCTCATTAGTAACTCATATTACCTGCCTTCCTTAAAATACCATAACACTGTTGTTTCTAGAAGCAGGGATGTAATGCCCATGGGTCTTTTCTTTTTTTAAAAAAAAAATAATAATTACATTCTTTAATAGTCAGTTCTCCAACATAACTCTCAAATTTTGGTGGATGAGATACAACACTTGATAAAAATCAATCACTTTGCTATTGCTTTGCTTAGTTATATCACATGGTAGCTGGGAGATAAAGAAAATGACGATAAAATTTATTGTTTTTGGCATATAACCTAAACAAATAATACTATGTTAATTGGAGAGAGTTTGCTCAGTTTCTCTTTAACTAATCTCCTTCATATTATTATGAACTTACCAGCATCACCAACAATGAAGAAATAAATGATATAAATAGACTTAGAACATGGAAATTTGATCAAATAAGATACTTATTTTAATTGGCCAAGGGCAAATAGCCTCTGACACAGGTTTAGATGCCTGATACTTTACAACTTTGCAGAGATGGGATACTATGCAGGACCTCATTGCAAACCTTATCAAAACCTGCGAAATTTGAGAATAAGAAAAACACTTTTTTGGCTTTCTTTCAGTTTGATAGAGTTTTATGACTGGAGCTAAAGGTAAACCCAACAGAATTTATAAACCTGACTTTCTCCATTCTTATTCTTAGAATAAAAATAATTTGTTCAAAAGAGAAAAAGGAATAGACAATTTTGAAACTTTTATTTATTACAATAATTCACAAAGAATAAAAGTGACAGAGCAATTGAAATGAGAGGAAAAGAGACAAAATTAAAGAGAATGAAATGTGATTAGGTGTTCTACAGGTTCTTTCATAATTTTTCCTAGAGATAGACATGCATAAGAAAAAGCTTTATCTTGATTTTAAAATCCTCTTAATGTGATTGAAGCTCTTGCATTAAGCCCCACACAGCAAAATGCAAATGGTTGGCTTTTTTGGTGCCAAAATTAGTCTCCCTACCAGTGGCTTGTAGGAGCAAGTCTCCCTTCTCTTGTTTTCTCTGTGCTTAATAATGATCTAATTTAGGCAAGTGCACAACCAAATGATAAATGATTGATATGAAATATATGCATGTTGTTGTGTTGGTTCAAGGAGAATTTCACCTCTTGGGAAAGGAAGTGAATTACCAATTCTGCACAACCGTGTTAAGTGCTATACAAGGCAATATACAAAACTGTCCAGTAAACAACTCACAAAGGCTAATCCACTCATCATGGACTGGGCTAGACCTAAAATTCCATATGTTCTTGGCTTTCATTCTGTATTTCCTTCAGCATTCAAAATTTTAGTATCTAGCTGTTAGCAGATAGTACTTTCACACTGAGAAGTATTATAAGATAAGTGAAAACCTTGTGCTAAAATGGCTGTAGTTTATCAGTACATATTTATAACCTCTTTCAAATTAATCTCTGCTATCCTTTTGAATCCAAAAACAGATCTGCTTCTAGAAGCTACCATACCCACAAGTTTGTTGAGACTTCTTTTCCCTTCCCTGCTACCACTTAGAAGGGGTAGACTGCTATAGTGAAAAGAACGTAAATAACTTTTAAATCAAATAAACACAGCTTAAAATGTACTCTGTGACCATAGAGAAATGACAATCTCTCAAACCTGCGTTTGTTCATCTAAGAAAGGGGAAACCCATCCACATATTTATTGCAGGACTGTTGCAGGTACAATCAATAAAGGTTAAGTGGCTAGCACGATGCGTGGTAACCAGTAAATGATAACAAATGTATGACTGCTTTGTAAGACCTATTGCTACTAACAGCTCTACGCTTAGAATCTGCCAAAAAGTCTTCTTGAATAATTTTCTTACACTGTGCCAATTTTTTTTGGCATGGAAATGGTGCAGATTTGAAACATAATATTCCTTTAAGAAAAGGAAGCTTAGATTTCCAGATCTCTCCTTGCTTACTATGTGATTGTATGTAAGTTGTTTAATCACCTAAATCTCAATTGCTTTAGAATGAAGGATAATAATAGTACCCACCATCATCGAACCGTAAGGATAAAATGTCTAATAATGTAATGCCTGAAATGTAAGTAAATAATTTTAGCTTTTTTGTTTAGTATGAGGAGTAATAATAGAGATAATACACAAATATTTCCTGCCACAGGTTGTTTTCTTAAAACACTTTGAGTACCCTGCTTACCATCATTCTAATGCTACTTCAGAGGTGGCTTTTCACTGTGACCATGCAGGTAAGTGTTTATTTCTTAAACTTGTGCTATACTAATGCTGTATACCAATGCATATATATAATGCTGTGTTCCAATGTATACTAACACCTGGCTACACTACACAATGTCACATTCGTTAGGTCTGTGTTGTGATTGCACACAAAGCAAGGTTGAGGCCATTATCTTACAGAGCCCCAGTTCTGCTGGGGGCCTGCCATGCTCTGGAGTCGTATTCTTAGCAGTCTCCACTGTATGGATGGGATCACTGCTTAGAAGTAGATCATTCCCTAGTTGAACCTTAAATGAGATCTAAGCCCTGGGCAACACCTTGATCACAGCCTTGCAGAGGACCCCGTTAAGCTGTTGTGTGCTTTACTGACCCATAGAAATTGTGAGATAATAAATGTGTATTAAGACATCGGCTCTGTGGCAATATTGTTATGAAGTTATAGGTACTAATAAAATACCACAGAATACACTTCAGGTAATGCTATCATGCTTACTTAGCAACCAGACTCTTCATCTTGAAAACTATTTATTTTCAAACTTTATTTTTAAAAATTGTACCTCATTCTGTACTTAATTCACAGCACTTTTTTTGGATTAAAAATTGAACTCTTATAATCCCTTTATCCACATAATTACCAGTAATAAAACAGTTTGGGATACAAATATTACTTCCAATATATACCAACAAATCATATTTGGTTAATAATAACTAGTTCAGAATTTCAGTAGTTGATGCAATAGATGATATGAAAATCCCAAATTCCTCAGTGCTTGATGCTGGTAGTAAACAGATCTCTCTGTACTTTGAAAAAAGAAAATATGCTCTTCAGACACTTGTTTTGATAGAATCATAGATAGCTAAAGAAAAAAAAAACACAGAAAAAGACAAAATACAGCATAAATGCACAAAATCTACAGACTTACAAAGGAAATTATCTTTTCTCAACTAAGTGTGCTCTGGGCACAGTTAATCATGACCAAGCTGTGATTCATAAATGTGTTCTCTTTTAATCCAAAGGGAAGATACTTTGGGATCAAATTATTAGGTTATACTAATAGCATTGGGTAACTGGTAGAGGCTAAAGCCTGATGATATCTTGGAGGCAAAAGATAAAACAATATCTAAGTGATTCATCCAGAAGTGCTTTCAAATTAATTGAGCCCAGAGACCATGATGCTGGGTTTTTAATGGGCAAATTACAATGTGTAAGATCCAAAGTGCTCAGTGAGAAATAAGTGGGCAGTGTCAAAGAAGCAAATTGGGCTCCTTTTATTATTATTTATTTCCTCCTAAGGAATGTGTTCATTCCTTTAGGTGCTTTGGTTCTTTTCTCCCTTCATCTAAATTGCCTTGCCCACAGCCTGAACACACCCAGACTGAGAGTTCAAGCCACAGAGAGAGGCAGGTGACCCTGAGATTTCACAAAAAGGACAGAGAGAGAGAAGGGACCAGTTTATTAAAACTTGAACTGGAAAGAGAGCAAAGAGCCAATCTAATTAGTGTTTAATGACTGAGCTCAAGTCAGAATGTCAGCCCTGGACCACCAGGGAGAAGGTAGTCTGGCTTGAAGAGAAAGAGTACATGAAGAGGGAAGATGACACGGTCGATTGTCTTGGTCTGTCTCTCTGGTGCCAATTGTGGGAGCTACTGACACACGCTGATTTTCCTGAGTAAATCAAGGAAGAATGTAGACAGTGACTTTTCCTCCACTCCTCTGCCACCCTCCTTTATAATAATTTTGGCTTACATGCATACAGGTTTCTAAATGTCTTCAGCATCAGTCTCTGTAACCAACTATTGCCTTTAGCATCCAAACTTTAAAAGATTACTGTGTCCATCAAAGGAGGACTGTGGCTGAATCATTTTAGCAGGGTTGTGATAATCCATAGGCACAGAAAAGCTTTGATTCAAAAAGAACTGAATTCAAATCCTAGTTTTACCAGTTACTAACTGGAGGGATAAATATATAAACCTGTTTTTATTAGTAAGAAATATTTAGCGGGGGATTGGTTGAATCTCTCTGAGCCTCAGCTGTTTCTTCTTTAAAATGTAATTAGTAATATCTATTTTTACAGAATATTGAAAGAATTAGACTTCAGATATACAAGCTACAGCATAGGGCCTTGATATTGGAAATTCAATAACTGAAAACTTTCTATTATCACACCTGGGAAATATCAAGAGAAAAAAACTGTCCTATCCAAAAATTTCCTTCATACTCCTTCAGTGCAAAACCTCACTCTGCACGTATCCCATTAGTAATTACTTCCTTGACTATAGCAATTTTGCAGGTAACTACAATAATTTATTTATATTAAAGAAGGTTCCTTGCTTTATGGTTCTCATTACCAACTATTGCTAGTCTTATTATAATATAAACAAATTATAAAGTTGTATTAGAAATAACCAGGTCACATATGTGAAAGAACTGGCTTCAGAGTCTGCTCAGCCTTCAGAGAGTATGAAGGGATTCCTTTTGGGAATAGGCATGGGCCCACTTAAAAAGGCAGGGTCTGCTCTTGGGGTCTGCCTCTTAGGTGCCTCTTCACCCCCACAGAAGATATTTTCAGTCAAAGTAAGAGAAATTGATATTACTGCCAAATAAAACCGTACCATTGCAGTGGGGCTTATAGAAGACATTTTCTCTTCTTCAGTCCTCAATTCCACCATTCTGTGGCCATTAGCCAGGCATTTTACCTTTCCTCTTTATAAATGATCTCTTGGTTGCTATATCAGTTTCCTTGGTCTGCCATAGCAAATGACTACAAATTTGGTATATCAAAAACATCAGAAATGTATTATATTACCATTCTTGTATTCAGAAGTCTAAAATCACGAGGTTGGCAGGTTTGGTTACTTGTGTAGGTATTTGCTCCATGTCTCTCTCTTAGCTTTAGGTAGCTGCTGGAAATCCTAGACTCACCATTCATCTCTGCCTCTGTGTGTCTCTGTATCTTAAACCTCCCTCCCCTTTCTCCTATAAATCAAATCATTGGATTTAGGGCCCATCTTAGAATAATCTTATTCTGAGATCCTTAACTTAATTACATCTGCAGAAATAGTCTTTCCAAATAATGTTACCTTCACAGGTACCAGGTAGGACTAGGACATATAATTTGGGGGGACACTGTTCAATCCTCTATAGTTGCCTCACATACGGTAAAGGTCATGCAAGTCTCCCCAGTTCTTGTGCTTCCACAGTCCACTTTCCTCCTTCCTAACTTAAGTATTTTTAAAAATGTGATTTAGATCCTATCACCCTCGTACTCAAACCACTCCAAAGGCTTTCGACTGTAGAGCTGAACAAAGCCACAAGTCCTGTCCTGTGGGTTAGAGTCTATGGAACCTAACCTCGACATTTTCCTCCCAAACTTCTACAACAGTCCTCTCCTTCTCATTCACATTCTCTCTGTTCTACAAGGACATCAACAGGTTTTTACACTTTCTTCCCCAAGATTGTCCCCAGCTGGTTTTTGCTTATTGCAGGGCTGGCTCTCAACCCTTCAACTTTTTGTTCAGATGTCACTTCCACTAAGAAGCTGCCCCTCATTAAACTAACTGAACTAGCTCCCTCTCCTTATAGTCACTCTCTGTTCACAGTCTGTTTTCTATTCTTCAAGTATGTATCAAAATAAAAAAATACCGTATTTATTAATTAGTTTTCAGCATGTTCATTGTTCTTTCCCCACTAGAATGTATGTGTCATGAGACCAGGAATTGTTTTGCTTGTCACTCATTCCCCACTATTACACCTGTGTTTGAAACATAGTAGGTTGAAAAAAAAGTGTTTGTTTATTGAATGAAAGCATAGCATCATCATGTCTCAAAGGAAAAGAGGCAGAGAGGAAGGAATGAATGCTAATTGTTAAACTACCACTATATGCTTAATTATTTTCTTTACACATACTAACTCACTTAACTTTCACACTGATCCCATAAGGTAGACTCTATTACTTCTCCTACATGTGATACAAAGAGGCTAAATGGCTTTCCTAAAGTCACATAAAAAAGAAAACCCAGATCTACCTGACTTCAGGGCCCACATTCTTTCAAATAACTCTATCCCACAGGGGAAAAAAAGGAAAGGAAGTTTGAAGGAGTCATCAAAATATGCT